>NC_000004.12:92860774-93163805 GCF_000001405.40 Homo sapiens
CTATACAGTACCTGAAAGGCAGTTATCAATATTAAATATTTATCAAATGAAAACCAGTGTGAAAGCATAAGAACATGTTTCTTATCCTTTACGTATGTGAGAAAATGTGCTAAGTACACTAACTTTAAAGAGCTAATAGTTTAGGAAGGTGTGTGGGGCAGGGAGTAGATGTGCATAAAGACACTTAATGAGATAATATAATATGTTAAGTTTAAATAAAGTTATAAATATATGACAGTACCAAGCATTTTAAGTCTAAGTAAATCAATCCTTCCTTACTTATTAATCCTACCCATTTTAAGCCAAAGTCTAGATTATTAAATTATGGCTCTACCAACTTTAATTGAGCAGGATTTATCATTACTGTCTACATCTATATTAGTTTTCTATTGCTGGTAACAAATTATCACAAACTTAACAACTTAAAAGAATAACCATTTATCAGCTCACAGTTCTGTGGGTCATAACTCAGAAAAAGAAGGGACTTTTAAAGGATGGTAATATTATGTCAGGCTCATCCTTAATCTCCCTATCGAAAAGTCACCTGCACCATATTATATAACCTAATCATAGGAGTAAAATCTATCAAACACCCAGTTCTGTGAATTACGCAGGGGACACGCACACTAGTGCGAAGGAAATCTTGGGGCTATCTGAGAATTCTATCTACCAAAGCAATCATCTTTTTCTCATGCTGTTTTTTCTCATATGGTCCTCATTGACCACGAGACTAGGTTAACCATAGCTGTCACAGTACCTACTATGATCTTGATCTTAATAATCACCATCTTTATTGTCATTGCTTTTTTAAATTTTGTCTTCCTTTTTAAGCGATAGGCATGGTAATGTCAGGGACTGGTCTGGCTTGGTTACTACTACATTTCTGACACCTAACCCTTCCCTGGACTACACAAAATAGATGTTCAATAAATATGTGATGAAGGAAGAAATGAAAGCAAATTCTTATTAAATAAGAAGTAACTAATCAGACTACTCTTTAAGTTAATCCTTGTTCCTATTGTTCACATTTTAGCTCCAATTTTACCTTCCCACCTCATTGAAATATTGCAAATGTCCACCCTGGCTACTCCATGGATCATCATTCTTTTTATTTACTTCCTATCTCTTATCACTTTATATAATTATCTCTGTTGCTTATGTGAGTACTTCCTTATTGTCTGACGCCCACTATATTATAAGACCCCAGAATTTTTCTGTCTCATTTACCCAAGTATCTCCACGGTTTTACCTAACACCTTGTCTATAATGGGTGCTCAATAAATGCTGAAAATATGAAGGCCTGGCAGAATTGTCTTACAGGGCATGGATAAAATTTCATGTCCCAAAGGGTACTCTGGATATTTAAAACCTCTCGACAAGCATTTCAGGACCTTTCTAACATTTTGGGACAATTGTTTCAATCTTAACAAAGCTATCTGTAATTTTCACTCTAATTTCATAGTACATTTACCTCATATTTTGCTACCCCCAAATCAAGGATGTTTTATGCAAATTAATTGACAAACTTAAGGCAATTATGAATGAAATTCATTAAGGGTTTACTATAACGTGAAAATTCTAATTTCATGATATAAATTTATTTCTCTAACATTCACTTGGGTGTAATCTTTTTTTTATTTTCTACAAAGTGAAAATTGTTTTTTGTATTTGGCTTTAATAATTGCTTGTGTTCTGATTTTTAAACTTCTATTAGTCGGCATGTTTCTGTGCTGCTCCCTGTGTTTCCCTTTGGAAACTCAAAGTAAAAACAATATGAAATGTATCACTATTTGTAAAGCACTTTAATCTTCCTAGAGCTTCCTGTGCCATCACCAACTATAACTCCAAGCATGTCATCCTATTCACTTTGTCAAATGGAAAGTAAAAGTTTTCTGGTACTTTGCAGCTTGATAAAATGTCTCTTAGAAAATACCTTAATCAGCATAAATTTCAGTTGTTGTGCATACATTTTTTATAACTAAATGTTCTAATGCAGTTTTAGGTATCCTAAAATGTAATTATTTAGATAGTAACTGCAAGTAAATAAGTCCTTCATTCATTTTCTTTTAAATCCTGAAAGCTCAGTGCTCTAAATACTGCTTTGGTAGAAAATCATTGACAGCTGCAGACTCCTGGCACTTGAGACGGATTGATAAATGCACAACAACTTTTAGAAAACTCCATTCATTATTTACCAGTAATTATCTCCCACTAGCTCTTCTCTCGGCACTTACCCATTTAGTCTATCAACTGATTAATGCTAAATAACTTTCTAAGTCTTTGAGCTTAAAATAGTAAATCTTAGAAACTGTCTTGGAGTTATGCGTTGTGCAGAACTTTAGAGTTTTTCTGTCTGATGAAAAAAGACTGAATTTTCATTTATCTTTTGATTTAGGCTTTTATTTTTTACACTTAACTTTGCCAACATGTACATTTCTACATTTTTCCTACACACATATCGTTTGTCCATAGTGAGTTAATTGCCTTTTAAACTCCATCCTCTTAAATATAATTTTGCACTGTCCTCTTTGTGCTCCTCTCTGTACTGTACCTACCACCTTTCATTACAGTCCCTATGAAGTTTTGAAATAATCACTTATTCACACCACCGACTCCTCCAGCAGCCTGTGAAAATACTTAACCTGTTCCCCTAGTTTATAAATTCAGGCAACTAGAATGACAAAAGTGGATATCAATAAATGACAACGGAAAATGTCCCAATCAAGATTAAATTACAGCAGCCTGCTCATCTACTCTTCAAATACTCTGCAGCCCTCATTCCAAATTCCACATCAGCTTTTAACCAGTAGGGTAAGTACATATTTGTGAAGCTTTCTCTATGTAGTATTAGTGTGTATCTTCACTTTCATCATTTTTACTGTACTATGAAAAATATGTCTTCATTTTATGGTTTTGAGAACATGTCGGGAAGTATAGCTGAAAATTCCGTGCCACAGGATTTTAGAGTGGAGGTTTCTAATAGTTTTGCTATTGTTAGGTCACCATGGAAGGAACATCATTGAAGTCAGTCAGTGTAGTTATGGTGCCCTGAGATCATCGCACTCTCGATGTTATTTAACTAAGATCTATGACCTCAATTAGAGTGAAAAGGATTCATCTCTCAGCTCCACAGGCTTAGCAAAAGTCTCAGCCATTCAGTTCAAAGGATTAAATAACCCATGTTAGATGGTTACAATTAAGACTAGTAAATACTGTTTTATTTCCATTTAGTAACAGAATAGACACGCCTCAAGGTGCTTCCCATTAATAAGATGAATAAAATTAAACAGTTACATAACGTGTCTATCCATAAATCATTTAAATTCAACTAAAGTACCTGACTAGCAGTGTTTTACAATAACAGGCATAGCTGCCATTTGACATAAACCTGGGTTCACTCTGAGCCAAGAACAAGATCAACACATTGAAGACTGTCCTTTTCAAAAGTCTGGCAAAAGAAATTTGGATTGTTGACCAAAACTTCTTAGTCACTTCCCATGGGAAAAGAAGTTCTTTTGGAGGACAGTACTGAATAGCTTGGCATATGCTGACACTTCGTTACAGTCTTTTCAATAGCAGAATCATTTCCAGGCCACCAGACACAGTGAATGATTCCTGAATGTGCTACATGTGGTGTGGCCAAGATGACAGTACTGCCATCTGGAATAATAACAAAATTTCTTCAAAACAGACATCCTTTATGGAAGGATAACTCATGCAGGTCATGCATCAAGGCCTTGATTTCTTTTGACATTTCCCCACTGGACTTTGCAGTCACAAGCAAAAGCACATTTATAGCAACAAAATACTACTGCAGATATGAACTACATAAACCACACCCTATTGCCTTTTGTAGCCTTCCAGATATTAGGAAGGGTATAGCATCCATTGATACATAGATACTACTACTAGGCCTTTCCATCTGATGTGAAGAGGTTACATTATTGTTTGTCATGGGAAAAGATACAAGTTCACCAGTGACAGGGACACCATAGACTACTGTGAAGATAATGGTAGTACCTGGATAAACAAAGACATCTTATCTCAACCTGTATCACGGAACATAAATTCAGCAGTTTATGGAAATATTCTGATTGAAAATAGCATTGCTTTATTGCCTAACTAACCCGTCTACCTCCCCTCCTGGATCCCCAAAATTTATTTGATACAGCCAATAGATTTTTTTGTTCTTGCTGTCTTTATTAATGACTTCATTATCCAGTGATTTTCAAACATTCTACTAAACCTACAAAACTTGTCTTTGTATTAAATCAATATAGAAGCTAAAGGTATAAAATCTGTAGGAGATTGTTGTCTTAACTCGAGTGAGGTTTGAGGTTCCCTGACAGGATAGATTGGTCCCCTTTGTATATAATCCCTGGAATTATTTCTACAGAACCCTAGAGCACCAATTGTTTATTTTCAAAAACTCCTGCCTTTACTGTCATAATATTTACACAGTCACTTCTCTTTCTCTAGTTTGAAAGAAACCCTGTTATAAACGTGAATTCATCAGATGATGTTCAGAGATGATGTCTAACAAATGGATGTTTTGGAATAGGTTATTGAAGTAATAAAATACAAGGTCTTTTTTACTATTTGTGATCTATTAAAATGGCACAAATAGTTGGACAAAAGGAAATATTCAGAAGGATGAAGGAAACATTCCTGAAGGAAAAATGTGAAAATTAATTGTATTCTTCTGCCAGTTGTCAACAAGCACCTTTGTCTATAACTTGCCTAATCTATAAATATATGTGTAAAATTTTGTCATTAGACATACATATCTGATCCTTGCTATCATATTCCCTTCAGGCTAAAGTGGTGTGTAAAATTTTCTCTAGATGAAGTATGTTGTGACTCAATTCACTCACAGTTTCACTCTTTGGCCAATTTGATATAGAGTACAAAAATAAGATCCCGTGTGTTTTTCAAATAAGTTGAATGACTGAATGAATATTTGTGCCACTGAATAAATGGGACGACTGACTGAATAATATTTCGGCCATAAAGCATATGTGTTTTACAGTTTGATTATCAAGAAACGGCAAAGCAAAAATACTCTTGTTTGAAAATATGCAATACAAACAATGACACTAACATGACAGCTTGCAAAAATACAAACATCGTTATCATATACTAGTGATGAATTATTTTTGTAAAAGTGAGTAAATTAAAATGAAAAATTAATTTCAGCTATCACTAATAGTAAATTGATAAAAAATGGAGAAGACATGTAAGCAGTTATTATTCATTTACAGAACCAAAGGCAAGATAGATTTCTTTGGTTTTCAAATCATGGCCTACCTGAAAAACTCTCTTGGTCCGGCACCCTGTGAATGATACTGCACACATGTTGAGGATATTTGGGATAGTGAGAGGAATATTGTGAGGAAGTGTTGTCAGAACTTCAGTAGGATTTTACAGTCCATCATCACTCAAATTGTTGATACAGACATAGATGGCCTTACTTGTTGCCTCTCTGATACACTCTTACCCACTTATCAGTTGCTTCCTTCTCTGTCATCCGTATCACTTCATACAAATCTTTAGAAGCTTCCATACTGCTTTTGGTATTCTGCTTACCTAACAGCCTCTCCCTCTCCATCAGATTCTATTCAGAGGTAAGTATTCACTTTTGTGCCTTCTTTGCCTTGTCCCATGCCTAGGAAATAAGTGTCCAATTGGTGTCAGCAGACTGAGTAAACAATTTTTAATAAAGATAATTTTAAGAACCAAATGGTGTTGTTAGAAATCATTGATGTTATCCTTTTTTTTTTTTCTTCTGAGATGGAGGCTCACTCTGTCACCCAGGCTGGAGTGCAGTGGCACGATCTCAGCTCACTGCAAGGTCCGCCTCCCGGGTTCACGCCATTCTCCTGCCTCAGCCTCCCGAGTAGCTGGGACTACAGGCACCCGCCACCATGCCCGGCTAATTTTTTTTTTTTTTGTACTTTTTAATAGAGACGGTTTTCACCGTGTTAGCCAGGATGGTCTCGATCTCCTGACCTCGTGATCCTCCCACCTCGGCCTCCCCAAGTGCGGGGATTGTAGGCGTGAGCCACCGCTCCCGGCCGATGTTATCCTCTTTTTGATAGCTAACTCACATATTCTCTGGCATATTTAACATTACCATAGAATGCTAACCCCTGGCATTCTGTTTTTTGAAACAAATTAAACCTGTAGTTAATGGCTCATTCAATGAAGCTTTTATGTCCATCATATTATCATGTCTTCCTTCAGTCTTCCTGTGGATCTTTTTGATGGCTTAGTAGTTTAAATGATTTTTATTACATTTTAAGAAATTTAAGAATACCGATACTGTATTTCTTCTTTTACATAGTAAATACATCATGTAAATGATTCCATTTATCATTAAAAATGGTTGTTAAATTTTTTATTAATAACATATTGGTTATTGCGCTGCAATAATTTATCCCATTGTCTTTTATAATTATTCAAAGTAACAGCTATCCTAAGTGGTAGTTGAGCAGTTTATTAGCACAAAGTCACTGAAAAAAAGTGCTATTGATTCTCCTTACTGCAATTAAGGAAACCCTTTATTCACTAGAATCAAGGAAGAAAGCTAGAGTGAAATATGTCAAACACCACCAAGAGCAGTGTGCTCTGCTGCCACATCTAATGGCGATACCACAATTCTAATCAGAGAAGACAGTGCAGTTCCACACATACAAAACTAAGAATGCTAATGCTAATTTAGCTTGAGTACTCCAGTCAGTCAAAAATGGTAATTGAGCAAGTGATTATGGAACCCCTGAATGCAGAGAGAAGTTTAGCTGTACTATTATTTTTTTTTTTTTTTGCATGTCAAGCTTTAGAGAACAGTAGTTAATGTGTTGGTAAAAGGCTATCAGTAAAATGGATTTTTAACACTTGGTTGCTCAATGGAACCTTAAAAATTCCTATGATCTGCATTCCAGGGTATCTGTCGTACTAGATTTGCTATTGTCCTGTTTGTTGAAGCTTCGTCTATATGAAACCAGTTAGATATATTGTTGGGTATGTACAGCTATTCAAATGTGTTTGGAATACCATCATGCAAAAATATACATAAAATGTTAGTCATTAGAATCATTTAACAGATCAGCAAACTGCAACTCACAGGGTAGTGATTCCCAAATCCAGGTTACATAAGCTTCCTGGGTCCCATTTTCACAGTTGGTTGTACTTTGGCTCAGAAGAGATTTTGGTGTAGGTGATAGGCAAATGATACTGAAAGGTTTTCTTTCTTTCTTTCTTTCTTTCTTTCTTTCTTTCTTTCTTTCTTTCTTTCTGTCTGTCTGTCTGTCTGTCTTTCTTTCTTTCTCTTTCTTTCTTTTTTTAATGTGCAGTTGACAAGTTAACTATTTCATAGTCTAATGTATTGCTATTACTCCATAAACTTTGAATATATTAAGACAATCCACAATGTGCTAGTTCTACTACTTCTTTGAATAGATATATTCTACAACAGGGTTGGTTTTGAATCATGGGGCTTAGCTACACAGAATTTTCATGGGCAGAATTATTTGAAAAACAAAATACCCGTACCCACCCTTTCACACCAACCTCATAACAAACCTGAAGCATATTAAGCCTTAGGAGATTTGGTTCCCTACCAGACGCAGCTACCAGAGATTTTGGTTATTTTGCTCCCATACATACGAATTTATCTATTACAAAATATTTGTTCTCTAAAGATTTCATTCTTCTGCCAATTCAAAGTTTTATTAAAACAGATTAGTGGAAGATTAAAATAGAAACAAGTAGGCTATTCTTTCTCCTTTAAAACAACAAAGGCAATCAGTATGTTGACATTATTTGTGACTAGTTTCTAAATTGTGCCATCTTTATAGTAGTTTGTATTATGTCTTTTGATAAATTGTGTTTGACATGTAGATGAAAGAGCAGAGGAAAACTACATTTTATGTAGTGTGTGTGTGTGTGTGTGTGTGTAGGATAATGTTTTACAATGAAATCTGTAGAAACACCCTATTAATTTCATGAACTAACTTCTAAAGAATATGTCAAAAATAAGTTGGCAGGTACATCTTAGCATTTATCAAGAGTAATATTGCCAGAATATGTTTCTATTTATATTGCTTAAAAGATGCATGAAAAAAATCTACTTTTTTCAAACATGGAAATGTAAATAAGGGATTTCAAATTGTTTGATTTTCTTCTAGGTCCCTGTCTATGACATCTAAATTACATATTAGGATGATAAGTATATACAATTTTCTGTGGCCTCTAAAGGAAATTACTTTTAATTTTGTATAAATGTGAGAACAATATGTGTTTCCTTCTGTGTGTCCATCTCTGCCTCTTTCTCTCTTTCTTTTTGTATTTATAGGGGTAAATTTTTCATCTGACAGATTAAAAACATTAGATTACATCCCGCTTACAGTAATTACAGCTTACTGGTGATACTGTCATTAGCTGAGCAATTTTAATGTCTAATTTATAGCAATATAACGAGTGATTAATTCAAGATGAAATTTATCATAAAGTGTAATCACGATGAAATGGATAGGTACTCAATACAGAAGCTTTTAGCAGTCATATGTGAGGCAGTACCCAAAAAACATTTAAATAGTTTAAATTTCAAAAATCCAGCAGATGAGGTCCACATGGATATAATGAGCTGATCGAAGTTTTCTGTCAAAAATAACCAAAGCAACTGGTAGTTCGGATGGCTCATGTATACCTTCTATTTGAAACAGGCAGAGATCTTAGCCCATCTTTGTGTCCTTGGTGTCCAAAACATGGTAGATCTAACATTCTTTTTTAAAATTAATTAATGGGGGAATGAATAAATAACAACTGAGTTACCCTGGCTTATAAAGCCCGACATTATCCCAGCTGAAAACTATTGACTTTCTTTTGCATTATTCACCACCTCAACCACATTCAGCCAGAGTGTTCAGCTTTCCTTTCCTTGATCATGCCAATCTCTTTCCCACCTATCACAGCAATTTCTCTCCCTATAATCCTCTTCCCCTAAAAGTAGTCAGAGCATGGTTGTGTCTTTCTCATCATTCAAGTCTCTCCTATTCAAAGAAGCCTTCCAGACCACCTTAACTTCAACTATCATTTTCTGAAATGTTTGTGCATTATATACTTGAATATTAACTATAAGTTGGGTGCAGTGGCCCATGCCCATGATCTCAGCATTTTGGGAGACCAAGGCAGAACTACATGAGGCCAGGAATTCAAGACCAGCCTGAGCAACCAATATAGTGAGACCCCGTCTCCACAAAAAAATTAAAAAAAAAAAATAGCCAGGCTTGGTGGTTCATGCCTGTATTCCTAGCTACTTGGAAGACTGAGGCAGGAGGATTGCTTGAGCCCAGGAGCTCAAGTTTGTGGTGAGCTGTGATCGTGCCACTCTACTCCAGCATGGGTGACAGAGTGAGACTCTGTCTCTAAAAAAGAACAAAAAAACCATAATGTCTATAAACTATATATATAATATATTAAGTACATTATACGGACACACACACACACACACACACACACTTTCTCTCTCTCTCTCATTTAGAATGTTCATCTTCCTCTTCCACAGGAGTTTAAGCTCCATAAGGACAGCACTTTTGTTATTTTATTCACGTTGAATGCAGAACAGGGCTTGGCTTACAGTATTTAGGTGTTTCATAAGAACGTAGTGAATAAATGAATACTTTGGAAGTGTTTCCAAAATTTGTTCTCAAGTGTATCACATTGATCACTCCTATTGAAAAGAATTAAACATTATAATGTGAATAGGTGAGATATATGTTTCAGATATATATTTATTTTAGTTTATTTTAAATAAAAAAGAAATACATAGTGAACAACAGGAATTATTTTAAAAAGCATTAACAGATGGCATTCAATTATTAAATTATAGTTCATCTTTCATAGTAGAGAAATATGAAGTTGTTCAATGCTTGGAAATTGTTGTATGCATTACATGTGATAAAAGAAAAAAATAGCACTACCAAGGGGCAGGGGAAAATAATCTTTACTAGATTTTACAGTTTAAAATTAGGTTGCTGAAATGTATATGGCAAAGGTGTGTGTGTGTAATTGTGCTTATATATTGTGTTTATAACTTTAGTGACAGGAAACAATATAAAATCATATGAATAACTTGTGATAACATCAGCACATAATGATCCCTTTCTTATCTGGTGTTTTATTGTACTATTCAAAAGTGCTAAATAAAAAATTCTTCTAAACATTTTTTTCATTAAGATGGATGGATATGTATTTTCTCCTTCTCTCCCCCTACACCCCATTTCTCTCCCTTTTTCATTTTTTAAAACATGTATTAGGTAAACAGAATGTTGGTAGATAGAAATATACAGATAGATAGAAACAAAAAGTCTTCTCTCCTGGAGTTGCGATGCCTGGTTTAACATTCTGACTTGGTCACTAACTTGTTTTGCTTTTTTATTTTTTTGTTTTATAATTGTTAACTATGTTTTATTTACTTTTTTTTTTTAAAAGAACTAAATAACTTCAATGGTCATTTAGCCACTGGGATTCTCTGATTCTTTTTTTTTCTGTTAATGTAACAAGTTAAAAGGTTAAGTAAATCTTTAGGCCTCAGATTTTTTATTTTGTTTTGGTTTGTTTTGCATATGAAAATTATAACTTAACCTAGAAGGTCCCTAACATGATGCAATTATTATTCTATTAAATACAGTTGAGTTAATTGATTACAATTTGTTTTAAGTTAGTTACCAGAAGTTTAAAAACCATGTCCTGGTATTTATGCCAGCTGTACATTCAGGGTTCTCTTTGGCTATGACATCAGGGCAGAGTACTGACACTCATGAGTCAAGGAGCAGGGAAGAGGGTATAGGAAGCCAATAATTTAGAAACTTAATGACTTACACTCCACTTTCGAAACCGGCAAATATTAGAATTTTTTTTAACTCAACTTTCCAAGGTAATAATTTTAAGTTTTCAGAGTTCAGTGACTTAGAGACACATTGCAACAAAATGTACAAAAGTCTTCTTGGCTCCATACTGTGAAAGACAGGGGAAAGAATATTGTCTAATGTTTTCTATGGATAAAATGGTTGCTTAATTTAAATGAAAATGTTTTTTACTACCTTGAGGGGCTCTTTTTCCTGTGAGTTTCTTTGGTGTTTCAGAGAGAGTAAGTCCTATTCAATTAAATGTATAGTGAAATTTGCGTATAAAAAGAAATAAACTCTCCAATAAATCTGTGGTCAGGTGTATGTGTGAGTGTGTGTCTGTGTGTGTGTTTGTGCTTATTTGTGTACATATAGGTTAAACTTTGCATTTGAGAAGAAAGTTTCTGAAATTGATTTAGAATAATTTTTATGTTTATTAACTTATTTTTAGTAGAGAAATTACAGCTTGTTTCATATCATAATTATGTTAACAATTTATTAGGATAAAATGAAAATGTATGCCAAACATCAACATTACTCTTTATTAATATCAATTTATGAACACATTTATGAAGAAAGAATATATGAAGAAAGCTGTTCAAATGTAATAACCAAGAAGACATATAAATGGCAATTAGTTAAACTGAAAACTTTCCAATTTCATCTTAGAAAAAGGAAACTAGCAATATGAAAATAACAAAAATCAAGCTTAATTTATGGAATTCTCCATGAAGAAAAATCCTTAATTATATACTGCATATTTTTGGTAAGGAGAAATGTTTTTATTCTACCTAAAATTTTTCTAGAATTGTAGAATTAAATGATGGAAATTGAAAATTAATTATTTGGATGATTAAAAATAAGAAAATCATTATTTTAATTTGAAAAAAAAATGTTAATACTCTTCTGCAGGGGGCAAATCCATGCAAGTATATCTTCAAAGTCAGAGGAAGCCAAGAGGCTTAAGGAAGAGGTGAACATATTGTTCTCAGAAAGAAACATTTTATAGGAAATTTGAACAGAAGCCATGCCTGTGCCTCCAGCAATGAGACATGCTGGCACAGCTCAGTGACCTTACCCCTTGGACCCAGGGCTTATATACCATAGGGAAAGAATGTGTAGGACAATTGCAGGGAAAGGCAAAGGTGCTCTGTGAATATGCCTAAGGGCAGGATTTATGGTCAAAGCTGTTTTGAAATAATGCGGTAATTTTTGGTAAGTACATGCTCTTACTCAAGAAACAAAAGATAAACTGGAGATCTTAGAGGCCTTTCTAGAACTGGAGTTAACTAGAAGTCAACATGGTGGATTAGTACCCAAGATGGAATTGCTTTAGCTTCCACAGATACCAACAGAAAATATAGTATTATAATAGTATTGAGTATAAGAATAAAGAAATTGGACTATGATAGAGCTCAAATTTCATAAAATGAAAATTTTTTTGTTTGGTTTGATTGTGCTTCTTTGGATCATATATCATGAAATATATTTATTATTGTACTTATAATATCAGTCTGTAATCATTTAGATGTTTAGTTTATTAAGCTCTTCAATTCTATTATGTAGTATAGTTTTCACAGACTCATTTACTGAGGTAGAATAGATCTTATTACTTTTATTTTAGGAATGAGGAAACAGAGATTTAGCTAAATCAAGTGTCTTAAGGAAGCAGCAAATTGAAATGCCAGGATCCAGTCCCAGCATTTTCATTCTAACTTCAACTTTTTTTTTAATATAACCACGATTATATGTATTTTCAAAAAAATCATTTAAATGTTATATTATTAAAATTGGACTTGAACTCACCTTGCTCCAGTATAAATTCTACATTCAAATCTTGATTTTTATGTCTAGGTTTACATTAGATAAATAAAAGATAAAAATTTAGATACGCTTCTATTGTCAAAAGCCTTGTATATCTAAAGCTAAAATTACTTCTGATTTCCTATCCATAAAAGAGAGGTAGAGGGAGGGAAATCTTGCTGAATTTGATACTAGTTTAAACATCCTCTAATTGAGGTTTTTTTGTTTGTTTGTTTTGTTTTGTTTTGAGATGGAATTTCGCTTTTGTTGCCCAGGCTGGAGTGCAATGGCATGATCTCGGCTCACCGCAACTTCCACCTCCTGGGTTCAAGCAATTCTCCTGCCTCAGCTACCCGAGTAGCTGAGATTACAGGCATGTGCCACCACACCCGGCTAATTTTGTATTTGTAGTAGAGACGGGGTTTCACCATGCTGGTCAGGCTGGTCTCGAACACCTGACCTCAGGTGATCCACCTGCCTCGGCCTCCCAAAGTGCTGGGATTACAGGTGTCAGCCACTGCGCCCGGCCTCCTCTAATTCTTATTAAAGAGCCCTGTCCTGAAACTTCTACTTCCCCCTATTCTTCTTACACTCAGGAAGAGAAAGGAGCAGGAACTGATAAAGGGACCCTTCTCACTTGGAAACCCTCAACCTTTGAATATCCAGATTTTCTGCTGCACATATAATTGATATTGTCACAACATTTGGGCTCTTTTGTAGCAGTCTGTGACTGATTTCGTCTTGTTTTACTTTATTTACTGTAACTTCAAATGTTGTAGCGTCTTCCAATTAGTAGCCTCTTCATGAAGATAGGACTGAGTATTTTGCATAAGACATTCATTCAAAATAAAATGAAAGATTAAATTAACTTTATTAAAATGAAATGATTCGGATAGCATCCTACTCATTAGCCTTTAGTTCATTTTAAAACAAATATAATATTATCGTCTATGCTTTCAAATAAATGTCATACCTCCATCTAATTAATAGTGATAAGCAGTTAAGAAAAAATAAAAATTGGGTTCAATATGACTTTTACAACACTATTTTAAACATCCAAAGAGTACTCAATTATTTTCCTACTTTCCATTACTTTTGAAAGCGAAGTATTAGATAGCTTTTAAAAAATTACAACATTTGTATGTATGAGTAAAGGTTAGAATTTAAAGACAGAAGCTACAAATAATATTTTTCATCTTTTCTATATGAAAAGACACCAGACCCATTTAATGCACGCCATGAGCGTTTGGGGACTTTGACAAGCTGACTTGTAGATGTAAAAAATCTAATTAAAATTGTTGTCAATTAAGTTACAGTGGTACTCAGATAATTGCATCACTCTTCAAAGATTTGTCTTCCAAACATTAATTTTAAGTATTTCAAACCATTTTATTTTCTTTTTTCAAAAACTTTCTGATGCAGACCTGGTGTTTTGTTGTTGGTAATTAGTGTTTACAATCATTCACATAATTTTTTAAACATTTGTTTTAGGCAGAATTCAAGTGTGTATCCATAAAATCAGTAACATTTTGTTTTGTAATTAGAAAACAACTGGACTTTATTAGATGTAAATATTGTTTAAATTTACGGTGAAATTTCGTGTGCCAAGGAACTAGAGGTAGCAACTGAAGGATAATTCATGAAACTAAATATTAACTCAAAAGGTTTTTTTTTTTTTTTTTTTTTTTTTTTCCCGAGACGGAGTCTCACACTGTTGCCCGGGTTTGGAGCGCAATGGCGCAATCTCAGCCTACTGCAACCTCTGCCTCCCGGGTACACGCGATTCTCCTTGCCTCAGCCTCCTGAGTAGTTGGTATTACAGGCACACACCACCACACCCGGCTAATTTTTTTCTATTTTTAGTAGAGACGGGGTTTCATTATGTTGGCCAGACTGGTCTCGAAATCCTGACTTCGTAATCCACCTGCCTCAGCCTTCCAAAGTGGTGGGATTACAGGCGTGAGCCACGTCGCCCGGCCAAAAGTATTTTTTCATAAGCAAGGTTGTAAAGTTAAGGTTCAATACAACACATTTGGTTGTGTAGGAGTGAACATCTGGAAATGTTTAATAAATATAATTTTACTGCATGTTAGAAAAATATAGCTAATTCTTTTAGAATATTATTTTGAAGAAAATAATAATATACATGGTGTGCAGATATGGCACAATACATGGGGGTGGGCTGAATTTTGGGAAACACTGATTTAATATCACATTTATTGTATAGATGAGGGAACTGAGATCCAGAGAAATAAAATGAATTATTCTAAATCATGCAGTTTTAGGATAGTTAATTAAATTTGAAAGCAAATACCATATCTACCTAGAATAAATAAAAATGACTTTTTTTTGTCAATAATCATTAAGCATTTACTGAAGACTTACAACATGTGTAAGGTGTTATGATGGATTAAAAAATGCTTCCCAACTCTATTAGTTCAATTGAGGAAAGTTCTTGCTTTAAGGATATTTGAACTAGCAGAGAGCGCCTTTACTGGGGCCTGGAAACATGTGGGACACTAAAATAGCATTCACGGTCATACAGTGTTCTCTTCTTAATACGCTCTCAATTCAATCTCCTATATACCAAATACTATAATATTAAAATTCTAATATTTTTGGCTTTTTGCTCTGAAGTCATTTAATCCTCAATTTCCAGAGTGATCCCTTTGTAATGTTTAGAAATGTCACCTTATATATTTAAAATTATGTATTTTGACAGTGTGGATTCTCTGTTTCGAACAGCAAATTTATAAATTATGAAATTAAAAAAACCCAATTATCTTTTTTTTTTATTATTTTATTTATTTATTTATTTATTTATTTATTTTTGAGATGGAGTCTCGCTCTGTCGCCCAGGCTGGAGTGCAGTGGCACCATCTCGGCTCACTGCAAGCTCCGCCCCAGCCTCCAGAGTTCACACCATTCTCCTGCCTCAGCCTCCAGAGTAGCTGGGACTACAGGTGCCTGCCACCACACCTGGCTAATTTTTTGTATTTTTAGTAAAGACGGGGTTTCACCGTGTTAACCAGGATGATCTAGATCTCCTAACCTTGTGGAGACGCCCACCTCGGCCTCCCAAAGTGCTAGGATTACAGGCGTGAGCCACCGCACCCGGCCAAAAACCCAATTTTCTTGATTATTACTACAGTTCAGCTATATCAGTGCACATCTTATCTACCAGGAAAATGGGTAAAATGCATCATCTGAGATCTTTATCACCAGAGATTCTGATTCATTAGTTTTTATTTTTACAAAACCCACAGGGAGCAGCAGAACACACAGGGAGGACAGGGTAGAGACTAAGAATTTATAGTTTTAGCAAGTAGCAAGCTAATTCCAATGTTGGTGGACTGTAAGCCATGCTTTGAGAAAAATTTAATCATAAGTTATAAAATATAGAAGTGAGAAGTAAACATGGTTGAATTGAATTAATCCCTGAAAACATATTGAACTTTATTCAGTGCTATTTTAATTGTATTTTTTAAAGTAAAGGAGAACATGTTACTTCAACATCTATCAAGAGTGAATTATGGTTTTTATTTGTGTTTTAAAATATCTTGGCTGTGTACATTTATAAGAAACAAAACAAATTTTTTTAAAAAACTCTCCATTAAAAGAACTTCATGCTAACTCTGGGACCTCAATCTATGTATAGAGTCTCAACAGGAAACTTAAATGACAAGGAAATGAGAAAAATTTTGCCTTCTTATTCCTTGTTGAATCAAGGCAGAGTCCAAGGTTAGTACACTGCATCTAAGGTAGGAAATTGCTTAAGCAGTTTTCAAAGGTTCATTCTGCCTTCAGGCAAGGATTTTCTATTTAAAAGGGATAAGTTTAGCCAGGAGCAAAATATTCCTCATTGTTTTTTCTCTAAAGACAGAAAACTCTCAGTAATTTTAACCTCCTTGATTGTATGTGTGGAGCAATATGAAGCTCTGAAGTAACTTTGTAACTGTGCTGAGTCCGTGAAGGAGGTACACTAGTTGAGTAATGAGGATGAGCGAGGCATCATTTATCAAAATAATCTTCAAAATCTTGCCTTACTTCACACACATTCTTATGTACAAGATAAAGAGAATTAAGTTATCCAGGTCAGCATCAGCCCAAATATACAGTTTGTTCTTTTGTTCTTCTACAGTCAGCATAACCAGGCTACAATCAGGATACCTCCCATCCTTATCAGAATTTCACAAAGAAGTTCATTAGTGTGTCCTGTCACTCTGAAAACCATATAGTCCTGCAAAGTGGTTTGTAAGTCCATGTTGATGGATTTATGCCACACCTTTAGGGACAAAGATCAAGCATCCTTAGCTACTTTATAATTTGGAGAATGACTTAAGATTTCAAGATTGGGGAGGCTTTTTATATTTTACTCTCCTTAAGCTTTTAAATCCTCTGCTCAGTATATTTACTTCTTCTCAGATAAGTTTTATAGAGTTGGAGACCAGAAAAGAAAAACCGTCTGGTGTTTCTTGCTCCCCAGGTATTTCTAAACATTTCAATAGCTTTGCTACAAATACTCAATTTGTACCATTCAAAATTAGGACATAAATTCAGAAATCGGAGGATAAAAATAAAGGCAACATGGCAGTTGTGATTGATATAACTGGGTTAAATTCTTCTACAGAGAAGAGTTTTTCAAGAAGCAGTTAGATATCTACTTTCACAGGTTGATTTAACCAGGATGTCACTTGAACAAAGAAAAATTCCTTCCCTACATTGTCTGCATTACATTAATTCTCCATTAAAAATGTTTATTATTCAGTGTAGGAGGCGGTTTTACTCAGTCATCTTTCAAATATCTGCTTCACTCATCTGTTCCAACTGATGGTGATAGTAGTTTAGAAAAAGTATTTTTAAAAAACAAATATTTGAAATCATTTTTATGTAGCCCAGCAGTACATTTCATCGACTTCAATAAATTTGATCTTATTGTTTGTTTAGAGTAATATTGGTGTCTGTTATTTGTTGATAAGTCTGGCTAGAGGATGGGGAGAAAAGAGAGAGTACCTGGATGGTAGTTTGAACTTTAAAAGTCTCTATTATTAAGAAGTTCAAGATGATTTTACTTCTGTAGGATATACCGCTTGTTTAAGATTTCGTGGCTCTTTTCAAAAGCAAAACAGTGACATCTGTTTTATGATGCATATTTGTAAATTTCTTATACTGAATCACACTTTTTTCTTTTTATATTCATGTATTCTTTTAGCAAATATTTATTGAATTCTTTATTTGCATGATATATAGTGATAGAAATAATATTCCCTGAGCTCAAAGTTTATCATTTAGAGAGATGACATCCATACAAGGAATTAGAGAAGATAGCCTTTATTGAATGTCATAAATGAATAGGAAAATCTCTAGCAAGAGTTCAAATGAGGATGAAATCATGTAAGACAAAATCCCATTTATACAAACCCGTGAGGCTATCTAAATTCTGTTGGTATACAAAATGTTATTTCACGTTTTGCTGCTCACCAAGCTTTGAGGGAAATGGCATCATTTTAAATTAATTACTCTTGATTAGCATAATTATCTGGCTTTCTAGAGCTTTATCTTATTTTGACATCAAACTGTTAAAAGCATATAGAATTGTATGTATATTCTATTTTCAATTTCGTTTAATGCAAATGTATATAGACAAAGACTAGAAAAAAGATATAAAATATGGTGATTTTATTTTCAAAACTGTTAATGATACTATCTTTCTAAGTATATATATTTTTAAAAGTAGGAGGTATGAGGGTATTGATACTTTGCCTCTCCCAATCAGGGAAGACAGAGTAAATACTGATGTGACTGACCCTTGTGAAGGTTGACTGACACCAATAAAATGACACCCAAAATAGTACTTCTTCATAGGCATCAGACTGAGAAAGGAAAAAATGAAATAAAGTAAATAGTACTACATCTGGCACATCTAAGCCCACAATAAACATTAGCCCTAATAAGTGCTAAGCAGTCTTCTCAATGTATAGCCAGGTGGACTAGTAGCAGTGTATACCCATACAGCTGACTTCAGAGAATTTCAAAGCACCTTTGTTCTGGAAGTGTTATCTTCTGCCAGAGATCCCATATACACTTGCCTGTAAGGCAAGGGAACCATTGTCATTTTTATTCATAGCTTTATTCCCAGGGCCTAACTTACTATTTAAAACAAAGAGACTTTCAATTATATTTAAACCAACTAATCAATCATTTATTAATTTAAAAATCTCAGTCACAAAAGGAAAAATAAGCTTTAATCACATTCAAATGTTTCAACACAATGTGCAGGAGAAGTTAAGTAAACATCATGCAATGTTTCTATGTTAATTTGTTCTACCTGGATTAGTGGTGAAACTCCTCATTACGGAAAGTCAAGTATGCAACTGTTCTTTGGCCAAGAGCTTTTGAATCTCATAGTGCTCCGAATTAATGAATCCAATTGGAATCCAGTAGGTAACTTAGCTTAAATATAAGAATAAAAGAAAATTGTGTATTTATAATTTTTTTTACCAAACAGAAAGTTCAACACAGTTTTGTATGTATAAAAATCCAAGGAATTTTTTGTCCAGTTTTGGATTCAGAATTTTTTACAGAACTCATGATTCTAGGATGCAAACAGGAAATCAGGATCTCAAGTCAGGCTAACTCTGCAAACTGTGTTTATTCCCGTTCTGTGATAATGTGACCTTCCCAAAGCAACTCAAGATTAAGTAGACAGGTAGGGATGAAAATGAAATATTTTTGGTGGAGCATTTGGAGGAGTATTAAGAACTGCTTGCACTTGATTACCTATTAACAACTGGTCTTTGAGGGGCTTTATTTTCCTGTAAAGATGATGCAAAAGTTTTTCCTCTTTATCTTAGATGTCTTCAAGAGACAGAATTTAAATCATAAACATTCTAGTCCATAATATTTTTTTTCTCAGTGAACAAATTTTTTTCCACCTTCTGACTAGATATCAAATACTAAAGCTTAGTTTCGACTTTTCTTGTCACAAAGGAAAAATAATGAATGATTATAATTATCTGATTTTAGCTACTGCTGCAGCTGAAGGCAACTGAATTTTGAAATTTTGTCATATAACTGTATATCATAGAAAGTGTTTGTTTCGTTTCAACATATTTCTAATTCATATTTAAGGATACCAATTAGTATCTATATATTCTAGAGGGATAATAAATATGGCCTTTTCAAAAAAACAAAAACAAATAAGAAAAAAACACAACAATTTGGCCACAGAGATCTTTCTTCCTTTTTTATTTTGGACATAATTTTGCTCTTTTCTGCCCAGGCTGGAGTGCAATGACGCTATCTTGGCTGGCTACAACCTCTGCCTCCCGGGTTCAAGTGATTCTACTGCCTCAGCCTCCCAAGTAGCGTGGATTACAGGCGCCTGCCACCACTCCCGGGTAGTTTTTTGTTTTGTTTTGTTTTGTTTTAGCTTGAGACTGAGTCTCACTCTGTCGCCCCAGGCTGGAGTGCAGTGGCACTATCTCGGCTCACTGAAACCTCTGCCTCCCGAGTTCAAGCGATTCTCCTGCCTCAGCCTCCCGAGTAGCTGAGATTATAGACATGAGCCACCATGCCCCGCTAATTTTTGTATTTTTAGTAGAGGAAGGGTTTCGCCAAGTTGGCCAGGCTGGAATCCAAAGCCTGACCTCAGGTGATCCGCCCACATCGGCCTCCCACAGTGCGGGGATTACAGGCGTGAGCCACCCAGCTCGGCCTCTTTTTTTCTTTAACAATAAAAATACACTCACTCATTCACCAATTCAATGTTATAGTTCTCAGAGCTCGCCACCTGAGTTACTCAACCCTAACCAAATTGTCATTTTCCTGGCTTCTTTTCTTTCATGATGCCATCTTCACCTCTTGATTTTACATATATAACATTTACCTGTCACTTTCCAATACAGAAGCTAAGTACTTGGCCAATCAAATCCTTCACTGAATACTAGAGGGTTCTCAAGGTGGCCATGTGAGAATTAGTGCAATATAAAGACAAAAGAAAAAATATTTCGTCTGCTTCCTTTTTTTTCCTGACCCAATAATTGATTTGCATTACAACACAAGTCAAGGTAAAAATTCTATATTTATGATTTTATAGTTGTCAATAGATCATATGACAGTATTGTGATTAGAGAAATGGAAGGTTGCAGTGCTTAATAAAACAACCATAATGGCTGCTAAAAACTTTTGTTATAGTTATTAGGTAGAAAACATTACTTTTTAGGTATTGTTTTTATTAAATAGGAAATGAATGTTGAGAAAAATATTGTCTTTCAAATAATGAGGGGAATGACAGAATTAATGTGATGTTGAAATGTTTTATGAAATATATGTTTTGATGTGATATCCTAATAGGTGTAGGATCATAAGCAATACACTTTTTAAAAAGTATTATACTTTTAAACATATTGTTTTAAAAATAAAATTAGATAAGTGATTTAAATACTGTTACTAAATAGTATGTTAGGAATTAATTTTCTATACCTTTCAATTTTCATTATGTGCTGGTAATATTCTTAGGACACATATCATTTAGTAAGGATTAGAGCCAGCTGGGGCAGATTATGGCTCAGGAATAATCCTTAAGGAATGCCCAGATTCAATTATTCCTACTTAAATGATTTAGTTTGGATGCATTTGGTGGAGTAGAGTTTTATTTTAGAAGAAAGGTGATATTTTTTGTCTTTAGTTCTACTCTTGAAATAGTCTGCCAGATTGATGGAGCCTCATTTAGGGCTCATCAGAAGCTGTGAACGCTGCAATATGGTTTGATTATAGTGCTAAATATCAAGCAACAGAGACAAGAATACCATTTAGCCAGGTGTGGTTTACACATATTTGAATAAAAAATATTTTCCTCAGAACTTAAGATAATTTGTTTTGTACAGAAAGCATATTTTACAGATCTTAGGAAGCAAGACTTTTAAATAATGTAAGACTGTAAATAATTTTAGTAAAATATTTTTGATTAAAGAAACATTACTGAGGCAATACTGGATAGTCAGTGGCTCTCTCATTTTTTTTTTAATTTCAAATGCCTAGAACTATATTAGGGGTTTTCAGTTAGAAAAACACTCTGTTAATTAAAAATGAGACATTTTATTTACTGTGAAATATTTTAGACCCTTCATCACATTAATATACATGCATACCTCAGAGATACTGTGGCTTCAGTTCCAGACCTCCACAATAAGTGAATATTGCAATAAAACAAGTCACAAAGATGTTTGGTGTCCCAGTGCATGTGCATATAAAAGTTGTGTTTAAAGTATACTGCAATCTGTTAATTATTCAATAGCATATGTCTAAAAAATGTACATATTTTAATTTAAAGTAAAACCTTTGGTGGTTAAAAAATGCTAACAAATAATTTGAGCCTTCAACAAGTACAAATCTTTTTACTGGTGGAGAGTCTTGCCTCCATGTTGAAGGCTGCTGAGTGGTCACAGTAGTGGTTGCTGAAGGTCGGGGTGGCTGTGGCAATTTCTTATAATAAGACAACAGTGAAGTTTGCCACATTGATTGACTCTTCCTTTCACAAAAGATTTCTCTTTAGCATGTCATACTGTTTGATAGCATTTAACCACAGTTGAACTTCCGTAATTACAGTCAGTCCTCTCAAACTCCATCACTGCCTTATCAACTCAATTTATGTAATATTTGAAATCCTCTATTGTCATTTCAACAAGATTTATAGCATCTTCACTAGGAGTAGATTCCACCTCAAGAAATCATTTTCTTTGCTCATCCATAACAAGTAACTCCTTATCTGTTCAAGTTTTACCATAGTATTACCACAACTTAGTCACATCTTCAGGCTCTGCTTCTAATGCTCTTGCTGTTTTTATCACATCCACAGTTATTTTCTCCACTGAAGTCTTGAACTTCTCAAAGTCATCCATGAGGGTTGGAATAAACTTCTCCCAAACTCCTTTTAATGTTGATATTTTGACCTCCTTTCATGAACCATGAATGTTCTGAGTGTCATCTAGAATGGTGAATCCTTTCCACAAGGTTTTCAATTTATTTTCCCAGATTCATCAGAGGAATCACTGTCTATGGTAGCTAGAGCCTTAAGAAATACATTTCTTAAATAATGAGACTGAAAGTTGAAATTACTCCTTGATTCATAGCTCGTAGAATGGACGTTGTGTTAGCAGGCATGAAAACAATGTGAGTCTTCTTGAATATCTTTAGCGGATGTCTTGGGTGACCAGGCGCATTGTCAATGAGCAGTCATAATTTGTAAGTTATACTGTTTTCTGAACACTTGGTTTTGAACAGTGGGTTTAAAATATTCAGTAAACCATGCTATAAATGGATGTGCTGCCATCCAGGCTTTGTTGTTCCATTTATAGAACACATGAAGAATAGGTTAGTATAAATTTACTGGATCCAGGATTTTCAGAATGGTAAATAAGCATTGACTTCAGCTTAGGGTTGTCAGTTTCATTAGTCCCTAATAAGAGAGTCAACCTCTTCTTTGCAAGTTTGAAGCCAGGCATTGACTTCTCCTCTTTAGCTATGAAAGTCCTAGATGGCGTGCTTGTCCAGTATAAGGCTGTTATATCTACACTAAAAATCGGTTTAGCCACTTCATCTATGATCCTAGCTAGACCTCTGGATAATTTACTGCAGCTTCTACATCAGCACCTGCTGCTTCACTTTATACTTTTGTGTCATGGAGATGGCTTCTTTCCTTAAAACCCATGAAACCATTTTTGTTATCTTCTGACTTTTCTTTTGCAGCTTTCTTACCTCTCTCAGCCTTCATAGAGTTGAAGAGAGTTGGGGTCTTGCTCTGCATTAGGTTTTGATTTAAGGGAATGTTGTGGCTCGTTTGATCTTCTATCCAGATCACTCAAGCCTTCTCTATATCATCAACAAGAATGTTTGGTTTTCTTATTATCTGTGGTGTTCACTGGAGTAACACATTTAATAACCTTCAAGAACCTTTCCTCTACAACACAACTTGGCTAACTATTCGGTGCAAGAGGCCTAGCTTTTGCCCTGTCTTGGCATTCAGCATGCCTTCCTCTTGAGGCTTAATTGTGTCTAGTTTTGATTTTAAAATAAGGGATGTGCAGTTCTTCCTTTCACTTGAATTCTTAGAGGCCACGGCAGGACTTTTCACTGGCCTAATTTCAATATTGTTTTGCCTCAGGGAATAGGGAGGCCTATTGAACATTGAAACTCTGCCTCTTTCCAGAGTACAACAAGTTAACTCTAGCTACCTGAAGCCTCCTTTAATGTTCACTTGAAGGACTAATGGAATTGAGTGGAAGCTCTTCTCAATTAATAATAATGCTATTTAAAAATTTCATGTTGAATCAGAATGTAATGCTTTATGTGAAAAGAATTACTAAGTATGTCCATACAGTGTCAGTTGAGAAATGTTCTGAGAATGGTACTATCAATGTAGATGATAAGCTGGTGACATTTGGTCTCCCCAAAAAAAAAAAATCGCATCTAAAAGGCAAAGTGTTTTAAATAAAGGTGTATAGGATTAATTACTGCTGCACAGTGTTACAGAAACAAGCTGAAAAACAGGAACAGATTCTTCTTTCCTCTTAAACAATTCAACCATCAAAATAAATTTATTGAAATAAAAAAACTGTTAAAATTTAAGTAAGTTAAACTTGATGGTTTTGCCTCTTGTGTAATCACTAATACGACATCTTCAGTCCTTGTCAGGATAGAACTAATGGAGTACAACGTGTTGTAAGGCTGTACTTTTATGAATTAATGATCTGAGGTTTGATGGTAATGTTTCTACTGTCTTTGTAGGTTTGATCTTCCTTTGCCACTGCTGACAGAGCTAAGCCTGGGGGTGTTCTGGTTGCAACAGCCTTTCCTTATTGTTGTTTGATTTTGAGAACTCCCATGTTATTGATACGTGGAGGGAATTGTAAAACTTGTTGTGAATTAAAGCTAAGCCTCAGATTTTTTGTGTCTGGATTTGAAATTAACTCAGCTCTCACTTGTTCACATTGCTATAAATATGCTTAGCATTTTTTGTGAGGAATATCTAAAGTGCCAAGAATGAAAAGTGGGCTGCCCTGATGGTACTTTTCATTTCAAAATCAAACATATTCCTTGCTTTTGTCTGTGATGATTCTGTTGTTTAAAGAACATGTTCTTACCCCCGTTTTTATTGTTTGGGGATTCTTTGTTGTAAGATGACTCTCAGAAATTACTTTTTGATTGATAGTCAGTTAAAACTTCTGATCAGAATGAAGTTGTCTTCTTCACCACTTTCAGTTGTAATTCTGGCCAAAAGCAAAGGAACTTTGATTTACTTAATTTGTGCACTTGGCTAACATGCCGTTTATATTAGACTGTTTGGAAATAGCCCAAGTGGTGGCTGTATTGCTCTTTGTGAACCTGTTATGGGTATAGTAACTCTCAAGTAGGAACCAACTGTGTTAAAATGTTAACTTCCACATGGTAATATACTATTTCTTTGTTTTTTAAGAAAATTCAACTGAATTTTAAGCTAAATGTTCTTAATGCAAGATCAATATCTTGATTCTCATGGTTTTCTTTTATAAATTTTGGTTTATTTTTAATAAATGTGGACTTGCAATTGCAATTACAACTTTCAGCCCTTTCTAGTACAAAATAATATAATAATAATAAGCCTCAAGAGGCCTATTTCCTGAGGCAAAACAATATTGGGGAACAGCCAGTGGGTGGAGCAGCCAGAACCAGCACAACATTTATTAGTCAATTTTGCCATCTTATATAAGCATGGTTTATATAAGCATGGTTTGATATTACAATAGTAATATCAAAGATCACTTAGTATAGATCACCACAATAGATATAATCATGAAAATATTTGAAATATTGCGAGAATCACCAAATGTGACACAAAAACAGCAAGAGAGGAGATGCTGGAAAAATGGGCACAATAGATTTTTAGATGCAGGGTTGCCAAAAACTTTCAGTTAGTAAAAAACACAATAGCCTTGAAGTGCCATAAAATGAAATATAATGAAATGAGGTATGCCTCTCCCTGTCTCCAAGAAAAATATCCAAGAAAGACCTTTATATTTGACCAGAGAATCTTTAAATTTGAAATATCTTACCTTGCTATTATTATTATTTTAAATTTAATTTTATTTAATTTAATTTTATTTATTTGTATTTATTTTTTGAGACGGAGTCTCGCTCTTTCGCCCAGGCTGGAGCGCAGCGGAGCGATTTAGGCTCACTGCAAGCTCTGCCTCCCAGGTTCATGCCATTCTCCTGCCTCAGCCTCCCGAGTAGCTGGGACTACAGGTGCCCGCCACCACGTCCGGCTAATTTTTTGTATTTTTAGTAGAGACGGGGTTTCACCGTGTTAGCCAGGATGGCCTTGAAAACCTGACCTCGTGATCCACCCGCCTCGGCCTCCCAAAGTGCTGGGATTATAGGCGTGAGCCACCACGACTGGCCCTTACCTTGCTATTATTTTTTGGGGGAAAAAAAAAACTGTTGAAATCACTAATCTAAATATTATTGCTTCCCTTTTACAATTATCTCCTGTCTTCAATTTCCTTGCTGTGTTTAACATAAATAACTCTACATATGATTTCTGTAAAAGGCCACATAAACCCACAGTACTGTTAATATGGTGTTTTGTTTTTTTGTTCATATTGTTATCATTATTGCTGGTTCCTTGTGCTATTTCCCATCCTGGAGGTCTACACTCTCCTGAGAGATGGTAAAGAGAGAAAGCCCAGCAACATAATGTCTGGATGGCTCAGTATCCTTACATAGGACACCCAGAGGGTGCCCCAACTCAGCGTACCTGATTACTGGGTTTATTTTTGCAGAGCTTGGTGCCTGGTGACTAGAAAAGCAGACATTAGAAATTTGCATATCTTTGTTTTTGTTTTGTTTTGTTTTTTATCAGCTCTGGATTGAAGAAAGTTGGTAGAAGTAGCAGCAGGTCAGAGAAGTTCCTTTTAAGGTTCTGGCCCCAGTACTTATGTGCAGAAATCATTTGTGTCATGTTCATTGTGTCACTCATTGTGCACCCCTCTCAAGTGCTTTAAAATGTCTTCTCCCTAGTTAGAATCAATGGATCTTGATTCTGATCTCTGCCTCTAATTGCATGATGGTTTTCATATCATGGTGTCATCATTAGATAATGGTGCTAGGACCAGGTCTACTGCAAAGTAGAGTAGAGGAAGCACAGTTTTGACAAAGATCTTTTCTTAATCAGATTTCGCCTGTGTATTTTGGATGCTTTCACTATTGATGAAAAGAGAATATTGGCAAAATATGTTCAAAGTGCCTCCTGTTTTCTTTACCTTTTTCTCTCTTGCTTTCTTAAAATCTGATTCTGTCCTTAAGTTCTGGCTGAACTGTGCATTTTCAAATTTTCTAACTCATTGTCTTTATTTCTTTCTGTCCTCTTTTATACCATGTTCTCTCGCTAATAATAGCTTCTCATTTCATGCACACACTGTTTCTATACATCTGTTTCCTAGTGCTTAACACAAAGAATAATGCAGAGTAAACCATTTATATATGTTAACTGAATTAATAAATAAATGAGTGTGATAGTATCTATGAAACCTAGAGTTCGAAGGATTATGATGCAGCCTATATGGTGTATGATGAACCATCTAGCTTAACTTGTTCAAAGAGAGAAGTTTATGAAAAGAATTGTTATTTCATCTTTCTCAACTTTCTGGTACTCAAACGATTATATTGTATC
The DNA here is from genome assembly GCF_000001405.40 of Homo sapiens. Lineage (NCBI taxonomy): Eukaryota > Metazoa > Chordata > Mammalia > Primates > Hominidae > Homo > Homo sapiens. Next base: position 92,888,195 of record NC_000004.12, read on the forward strand.
TATTGTTTAAAACTGTCATTTATTCTAATTATTAACTCCAGAACACATAATAAATGTACTTATTAGAAATACAACATCTTAGGGTAGAATAAAGGGCTCAGAAGAGGTTTTTGGGGGGTAGTATTTAATGATTTAAATATTTAGTAAGAAAGTAATTATTTATATAATTATTTGGCTATTCTAGAAGCCTGTAATCTTTCGAATTTGCCCAGTCAACCAAGCCTGGGGTTTAAATGAATTTTCAACACCTTTCTGCTGACAGTCACACATGTTAAACCTTGATTTGCTTAAAAGTATTATTAAGGATGAGAATGTAATACTGCCAGTGGTATGTGGTGATATTATTGTGGCGCTGGGGGGATGAAACTAACGTCTTTCAGTAAGTAAATGTTTAATTTTACACACCATATAATCAGTTGTATTATTGCAAGTGCACAGCAGGTATGTAGAAAAATAGAATGCATATATTTAACATATTAGAAATAACTTTATTAATATTCCTATTTCATGTTCTCATGAAATTTTAATCATTTGCATTTTTTAGCTTCAAACATTTTTATAATATGTTTCTCTTGCACCCTTTATCTAGTAGCTGACAACCATATAGTGATCCACTTATCAGTTCTTTTTAATGCAAATAAAGCGGACATTTTTTACCTATTAGATCACTTGGAAAGAAAAAAAAACTAAAATCAATGTTTCATGCTACATATTATCTGTATATGAGCAGATATACACATTTTACAGGTCAATTTTATTGTATTTTGGTAATTGTCTTTCCTTTATCTTCTCTTATTTAGTCTTTAGATTTAAAATTGAAACTGTTGTTGTTGTACTGAATGCTAATGCAGTGCAAACCAAGACAGTATGTTTTACATGGCCTGAATAGATTCTTTGTCACTCCCTTAGGAAAAATACGTTGTTCATCTCATGGAAATAAACCTTTATATATAGAAAAGTATTTAAGAGAAAGTAATTTTTACCGTTTAAGTATTAAATTTTACCTAAACTTCTATTACGTGAATCTCAGTAGATACGTTCACCATTATAAAGAAGCAGAAGTTCTGGCCAGGGCAATCAGGCAAGAGAAAGAAATAAAGGGTATTCAAATAGGAAGAGAGGAAGTCAAATTGTCTCTGTTTGCAGATGACATGATTGTATATTTAGAAAACCCCATCCATCGTCTCAGCCCAGAAACTCCTTAAGCTGATAAGCAACTTCAGCAAAGTCTCAGGATCCAAAATCAATGTGCAAAAATCACAGGCATTCCTGTACACCAATAATAGACAAACAGAAAGTCAAATCATGAGTCAACTCCCATTCATAATTGCTACAAAGAGAATAAAATATCTAGGAATACAACTTACACAGGATGTGACAGTCCTTTTCAAGAACTACAAACCACTGCTCAAGGAAATGAGAGGACGCAAACAAATGGAAATATATCGCATGCTCATGGATAAGAAGAATTAATATCCTGAAAATGGCCATACTGCCCAAAGTAATTTATAGATTCAATACTATTCCCATCAAGCTACCACTGACTTTCTTCACAGAATTAGAAAAAACTACTTTAAATTTCATATGGAACCAAAAAAGAGCCCATATAGCCAAGACAATCCTAAGCAAAAAGAGCAAAGCTGGAGGCATTGCACTATCTAACTTCAAACTATACTACAAGGCTACAGTAACCAAACAGCATGGTACTGGTACCAAAACAGACATATAGACCAATGGAACAGAACAGAGGCCTCAGAAATAAAGCCACACATTTACAACCGTCTGATCTTTGACAAACCTGACAAAAATAGGCAATGGAGAAAGGATTCCCTATTTAATAAATGGTGTTGGTAAAACTGGCTAGCCATATGCAGAAAGCTGAAACTGGACCCCATCCTTACACCTTATACAAAAATTAACTCAAGATGAATTAAAGACTTAAACGAAAGGCCTAAACCCATAAAAACCCTAGAAGAAAACCTGGGCAATATCATTCAGGACGTAGGTGTGGGCAAAGATTTCATGACAAAAACATCTGAAGCAGTTGCAACAAAAGCCAAAATTGACAAATAGGATCTAATTAAACTAAAGAGCATCTGCACAGCAAAATAGACTATCATCAGAGTGAACAGGCAACCTACAGACTGGGACAAAATTTTTGCAATCTATCCATCTGACAAAAGTCTAGTATCCAGAATCTACAAGGAACTTAAACAAATTTACAAGAAAAAACAACCCCATTGAAAAGTGGGTGAAGGATATGAACAGACACTTTTCAAAAGAAGATATTTATGTGGCCAAAAAACATATGAAAAAAAAAGCTCATCATCATTGGTCATTAGAGAAATGCAAATCAAACCACAATGAGATGCCATCACACGCCAGTTAGAATGGCAATCATTCAAAAGTCAGGAAACAACAGATGCTGGAGAGGATGAGGAGAAATAGGAATGCTTTTACACTGTTGGTGGGAGTGTAAATTAGTTCAACCGTTGTGGAAGATAGTGCAGTGATTCCTCAAGGATATAGAACCAGAAATACCTTTTGACCCAGCAATCCCATTACTGGGTATATACCCAAAGGCTTTTAAGTCATTCTACTATAAAGACACATGCACACGTATGTTTACTGCAGCACTATTCACAATAGCAAAAACTTGGAACCAACCAAAATGCCCATCAATGATAGACTGGATAAAGAAAATGTGGCACATATACACCATGGAATACTATGCAGCCATAAAATAGGATGAGTTCATGTCCTTTGCAGGGACATGGATGAAGCTGGAAACCATCATTCTCAGCAAACTAACACAGGAACAGAAAACTAAATTCCTCATGTTCTCACTCATAAGTGGAAGTTGAACGATAAGAACACATGGACACAGGGAGGGGAACATCACACACCAGGGGCCTGTTGGGGAGTCGCGGGGGCTAGGGGAGGGATAGCATTAGGAGAAATACCTAATGTAGATGATGGGTTGATGGGTGCAGCAAACCATAATGGCACGTGTATACCTATGTAACAAACTTGCACGTTCTGCACATATATCCCAGAACTCAAACTATAAGAAAAAAAAGCAGAAGCAATTAATAGTGTTGCAATTAATTTTCAGTTTTAAAAATGTATAAGTACCTGTTATGTGCCAGGCATTGTATTACACACTAAAGATACAAAAGAAATAAGAATTTAGACATGATCTCCAGATACAAATAGCAGACTAAGCAAAGTAGAAAGAGAAGTCCTGGATGAACCACAAGGTTGTTTATCTGTTCTCTAAATAAGAAGTGTGAAGTGTTTTGGAAAAGAAAGGGAGAGGTTGCCTTCCTTTTCACTAGTCATCAGGTTGTCACCTAGAGCTGAGCAGCATTTTTTTTTAAGAAAATTAGCACATGTACTGGGTGAAAACAGCCTATTTTCTATTTTAATGAGCTAGGTACATAGAAAGGAAGACGTAAAATTTTCCTAAAGTAGAATCAGTATAGGCTGTAATGTTTTGCAGCCAGAATCTGGGACAGACTTGCCTATCTGAGAATAAATTGTTACATCGGCATCATAAGAGTCATAAGTACTGGGGGTGCAGAGTACAGAGCCCACTTATTGAGTCACACTTGCACATATAATGATTTTCAGTCTCTGATATATGTAATGCATAAATGGCCATTAAAGTCAGATTTTTCAAGGGCAGTTCTGTGTCAAATATTCTTTCCTGTTTTCTTAAATATTGCATTAACATATTGAGAGATTCCCATTATTTTACCTTTGAAAGTATGCCTCTTATAATGTATTTTGCACCCAAAAGTATCTCTAAACAGACACATATTTAATTATATTTGATTATGAAAATGTAATAGCTGGTTTTTTTTTTTGTTTTTGTTTTTGTTTTGAGATGGAGTTTTGCTCTTGTTGCCCAGGCTTGTGTGCAGTGGCACGATCTTGGCTCACTGCAACCTCCGCCTCCAGGGTTCAAGCAATTCTCTTGCCTAAGCCTCCCTAGTAGCTGGGATTACAGGCACCTGCCACCACACCCAGCTAATTTTTGTATTTTTAGTAGAGATGGAGTTTCACCATGTTGGCCTGGCTGGTCTTGGTTTAAACTATTCTGTTAAAAAAAAATTGAGGGAACTTATTCTGGGGTAAATGATGTTTTCAAATACATTGTTTTTTGAAAAATTTGTTCTGAGAGATATATTTTCTTCATTGTTAAAAAAAATTGAGGGAACTTTTTCTAGGGTAAATGATTTCAAATACATTGTTTTTTGAAAAATTTGTTCTGAGAGATATATTTTCTTCATTGTTGTGGAAATATATTATGTAAGCTATATTATTATGTGTGAGAATAAAGAATGTATTTTCTCTGAAAATGTGGCAGCTCATTCTTTGTTCACAGTGCTGGTTAAAGAGATTAGGCCACAAATATTAGCCATCACATTGTTAATGCACTCAAACTGCCAGTTCATGACCCTGAGATTGGAGAAATTAATAAGAAAAATATAAACATAATTTTAAAAATAACTGATAGAAAATCCACTTGGGAACACATAATTTTTAAAATCTAAAATCATTTAATGATAAAATAGTATGTGGTCTTGCCAAATGATCTACTCTTCTACTGTGAAAACCATAGATTATTACAGATTTGTAAAGTTGTTGACACTTTAAAATTAATTTTATTTGTTAAAGGAAACAATTTACTAACATTAAACTGTTTAGCATAAAATAAAACAGCATGCAGCATTTCATTACAGCAAACATGAAATATGAATTCTAAAGAAATAAAATATGAAAGAAATGCATTCTTTTTATAGCCTGAAAAGACAATATTAATCAAAATAACCAAAATACTTTGAAAATCAATGTTGAATGTGAATGTTTCTGGTTTTCTTTTTCTTGGACTTGTATTTACTTTTGTCAAGGTAACATAAAGCTACAGTATATATCCTCTGTAACAGTAAAACTCAGAATGTAGATTTTTTTTCTGAGTATAGTGCCTACCCTAGTGCTTACCCTACTTATCTTTATACCCCATAGAGTTTAAACCCGTGACTAGCAGAAGTGAGTGCTCACTGATGGAAATTAAAATGAATATATGCCTGAATGGATGAATAAATAAAGTTAACCATCTGCTCCTTCTTGTTCGTTCCTTCAGAACTCTTTATTCCATATTGGTTAGATTATCACTTTTCAACCCAGGGGCATGGTGGGGAAATAGGAAGGTATCTGGATTGACATAAATCCTGAGCCCTTGTCCTGGCTCTGACCCTTTCTAGTTATCAGACATTAGGCAAATCACTGAACTTCTCTGAGCCTGTGTTCTCACCTGCAAGATGAAAGGGTTAGAATAGCATGATCCCAAAAGTATGCTTCTATATTATAACATAGTAGCCCATGTGTAACTTTTTTTTTCCTCTTAATCTTTACAGTTTGTCAAATCTCTGCTCCATGCTTTTCTTGGGTGTAAAGAGATAATTAATTATTTCTGTTTAAAAGATTTCCTACTGTGCCACAGCTGGCACAGGTGAAAGAAATTAAGTAAGAATGCAGTAGCACAAGACATCATCACCCACTCTGCTTAATTATAGAAGTCAGAACTTGAAAATGAGATTTATGAGGATAAGTTGAAATGCAGATAATATGTTTCGGGATAATGTAGAGTTGATGATGTGTTATTTTGGAATCTTAAATTTCCAAGTTCTGCATAAGTAAAGGATGATGGTATCATAAATCCAAGTGGAAAATGGATCCTTCAGTGTCTAGGCCAGTGAGTTTGATGTGGACCCAGTAAACTTTTAAATTTGATAATTAATTACCTAGAGTGTGGGTACTAAGAAAATAAATAACTACAAGCTAGCAAGTCTTTTGGTTACAGCTAGGTCAGCTCAAGGAGCTGTGTGAAAATAATGGTCTTTAATTTTTACTAGGCATTTAACAAAAACATACATTATATTTTTGTCCACATGGTAGAGAAATATGGACCAAAGTACATTCATAAGGTTGATCAAACCTACCCAAATAGTGTTCATATAAATCTAGAGAGAAGGTCTCCTTTACCGTGTTATGGTGGTCTTCTTTTATTAGCTTTTCCATGATTGGATGTTTATTTGCTTATTATTTTTCAGTGACTGAATATGATATTTTTAAGGTTCTAGATGATGATTTAGTGCTTGCATTTGTATGAATGTTTAGTGTTATCTTGAATGGCCAGGAGGATAGACTATAAACCAAGTAGGTCTACATTTTATAAGACAGGGGTTTTACATTTGAAGTTTAATGTTAAAAAATAAATAAATAAACTACAAGTACAGAATCCTGAGGGTCCCAGCTTGACAATATTTCAAATGGAGAATATTGGTGATTGCAGTAATCTGGAGCTTAATTAATAGAAGGATAGATTTTAGGCAAAAACAGGTAATATTCCTACTATGTACTATATTGCTCAGACTTCATGATGAGTACTTAATTATGGGGAACACGTTTAAAAGAACAATTGTCTAACTGAAATAAATTCAGCAAAATAATAAGATTGTTGAAAGTTCTCAAAATCTTGTTCAGTGAACCGTGCTTGATTTACTATCCAGATTATTCAACCAGTCTTTATTTTATGGTGGCCATAAGCCTGTTTCCCTCCTGAGAATCAAGACTTCTTCCACTATTAATCCTTGTATTTAGGGTAAAGTTGACTCTACAGTCTGCTTCTTGGGCAGGTCAAGGGGAGTTCTTGAAATAGAATTAAGATCAGTAAAGATGCACTGTACGGCCATAATTGCTATTTATGGCCAGTGTCCATTCTAACTGGCCTGAACCCAGTTAGTTTATATATGTTATGTTAAACCTGTCTCCCATATTTAAGTTAATCAATATATTATATTTGTCATGCCACAGGGATTAATACTGTGGTTAATGAGAATTGGCTGGGGACATTTTCTGTCTTTTCCACTAAACTCAGAGTTATGAAGTCACAAAGCTGGGACTATCTTAACATTAAAATGGATAAATCTGTGAGGCCAACATGGGGTAGAATGTAAGACAAGTTTTGAAGATGGCAAAACAAGGTTCTAAAGATGTAATCTGAGCCTCTGGTCATACCAAACCTGTAGCTGGTAGATCTACTCCAGTACATGGGTTAAAGAAAGAATGTTTTGCTTAAGCCAAAACCCAAAGAGCTTGAATTGACACATCATGTAGAAAACATATATATATATATATATATAAACTGAAAGATGTTTAGCTTACAAGAGGTGAGGGAAAACAAGTTATATAAGCTTATCAGACTTCTCCTCATTATTTAGAGAGAATCAAAGGCTCTATCTGATGTAGGAAGGTAGAATTTTCAGGTAGACCGAATTGGGATCAATGAAAAAGGATGTACATCTTCACAATTTGAGTTACCAGTAATAAAACAAGCTGTCTTCTGTGCTTAAAAAATATTAAAATAGAGTGTAGTTTATAAAGACTCTCATATTGAGTTGAAAGTTCTACTATCTGTTACTCAAATCCTTAGAATGTGTTAACTAACTACTGTGCCAGACATTATACCAGGCACTTTATATAAATTTCCTGTAAAGTCAGTACCATTATGAACTGAAGAAACCAGGGAGTAACAATGTTGAATAACTTGCCCAAGGTAAAGAAATCTAGTAAGTATCAATCAATGAACAACAAACCCTATGTGTCTGACTTTTCTTTCCACTAACATTCTAGCAATACCTGGATTTTTTATGAATTCAAAGTAATTATACAACTCCCCTGTTGTCAGTATTTTAGCCATGATTTACATAACAGAAAAATGAAACAGTTTAGTTCAAAATGAATTATTTTTGATTTAGGGACAGTAAGGAATTTCTAAAAATGCACTAAAAGCACTTTAGTACGTAAATTCCATCATGACTAAAAGGTGCCATGCCTATGTAAGTATAATTGTGCTGAGGTTTATACAATTCCATAAGTACTAAAAAGAGAAGTTTTTTAAAAAGTCATAAAAATGCAAAACAAATATGTTCTGATTTCTGAGAAAGCCTAGAAGAGCCCCCAGGCAATATGTATTCAAGGGCTATGTAGCCAGGTGTTCCCCTCTGGGGTTGTATTCAACGTGATTTCTTGAGAATTAAGACAGTAGTGAGGAAACACAGAAGAAAAAATTTCTGCTGTAAATAAAATCCTGATAGAAAAAGCATACCAGGGAATTTTGGTTGATAATTGTTTCGCTAATTTATTGCCTCTCACTTTATCTCGAAAAATAAAACATTGTTTGGCCCTTATTCAAATAATTTTCACTAGTGCAGGAATTCTGGTAACCTGATCATATATATCTATCTTTATTATGAGATCTTCAGTTGTTTAAAGTTACCATATTTTATAATATTATATATATATATATATAGTCAATTGAAAAACTGATGTAGTCGAGAACACACCTTGCCTAATATAACTGCTACATTGAATTCATTTACATCATAACAATTTCTCAGTTCTTTAAAACAGAAGTTTAAAAGCAGATTCATTATGTGGTTCATTAGATTGAATTCTGTGGTCAGACAAACCCAGGTTTTGTTTCTTTTGTGTGTGTGAGACGGAGTCTCGCTCTGTCGCCCAGGCTGGAGTGCAGTGGCGCGATCTTTGCTCACTGACACCTCTGCCTCCCAGGTTCAAGCAATTCTTCTGCCTCAGCCTCCTGAGTAGCTGGGATTACAGGTATGTGCGACGACGCCCGGCTAATTTTGTATTTTTAGTAGAGACGGGGTTTCATCATGTTTGCCAGGCTGATCTCGAACTCCTGACCTCAAGTGATCCACCTTCCTCGGTCTCCCAAAGTGCTGGGATTATAGGTGTGAACCACCGCGCCCAGCCCAAACCCAGGTTTTAATTATGACCCTCCTGTTTGCTGGGTGAACTCCTTAAGACTCTGCATGTCTCTGTTTTCTAATCTGGTAATGAGGATCCTAATGCTTACCTTCTTCAGAGATTATTACTGGTATTAAATTATATTATTTTAAATGTCTCTGTCTGCCTGCAATGGTGCTGAATCAACAGTAGCTGCCTTCTCTGTTTTCCCCAAACAAATTCTCCCCATGTCTCTCTAAGTTCTCTGCACTAATTTCAAAGTTAATGAAAAACAACTATCCATCTCTTTAATACTATTCAGATTTTAAGCCTGTGATTTTGTGTATAAACTATTCTCAATCATACAAAACAGTGTACTTTTAGAGAAAGGGCAAAGTTCCTATTTTGTTTGTTTTAAAAAAAAAGTAAGTTAGAATGAATGGGAGTTCATTTTTAAGTCAACATCTATTTCCCTTTTTTGTCACTCTACTTTCTTTCAGAATCTTTCCATGCCACTTCCAGCAGGACTTACACGTGGGTGCCCTGGCTTCCTTAGTTGCATTGCAGAATAGTTATTGTAAACAGAAAATCTTTCACTGCCAAATTTGAACTTGGAGTAGGGGGTCTTCCCTAATTTGAGAAAGTCATTCAAGTGTGTAACTATATAGGAAATGTATTACTTTATAAGTTTGGAGAGGCTTGGAAATATTGCTGGAACACAACGAAAAAAGGAAATGAAATGAAACCTCATTAACTCTGTCCCTAATTCTTTTGTAAGCAGATAGCAGTTCCCTTGAAATGGAAAACTGGGAAAAAGGCCACAAAGAAATTATATGATTATTCTCCTAAGATCACATAGGAATGAAGTACAACAGTTATGAGCATAAGCTAAGATGATTTAGGATGCTAAATTTTGGCTAAGCAAACATATACACTTTTCCAGCTTAGGAAGAGATTCACGTATCCAACACTACATCTTCTTTACATTTTAATTTTTACTTCATCTGAAAAATTGTAAGTTAAAAAAAAGTTGTAGATAATATATAAGAAAATACAAAACAAGTTCAAACCCACACAATTATTTTTCATATATTCTAGTTATTTCTCACTGATCATTTTGTTGAAAATACATGGGATATATCAATGTCCTGACTGCATGAAAAAGAATTTCAGTGAACATCCCTAAAAGAAAAGACGCATATCCATCCTTTCTTCCCCGTACCCAGCAAAATGAGAACATAAACATTTAGTCCCTAAAAGTTTTCAGTTGCCAGAAAAACAAAGAAATATAGTTACACATCCATTTTTAACCATATATAGAACCTAGCTCTGATAGACTTGAAACAAATAACACTATTTTTCCCAATGATTTCTAAAAGCAGCAAACCATGAAATACAATTTCATTTTCCTCTAATGGTAATAGAAGATATTTCATGTTGCTACCAAACATATACTGTATATTCTTGTCTCTTCAAAGTCTATTTTTTATTAGCTTAAAACCCTGAGCTGTTAAATGTAGCATAAAACTTCTGTGAAATTACACTGCTTTGCATCAGGGGAAAAGGGTCTTTTAATTGGATGATTGCAGAAGAGGAGAGAAAAAGGAGAGAGCCTTCAAAAGTTTGGGTAGTTCAGATTTTAAAAATCTGGATGCTTCAGCAAAATTGCCAATCCTCTGAGCTTTGATTATTATTACTAATGTAGCGCTTACAGATACTGTAAATTAGATCTTGAGCACATTATGGGCCAAATACCATCCTTTTATACTCATGTGTAACCTTTAACAGGTTTCAATGGGAAATGTGCATGGTTACTCGAAAGCAGTTTTCCCATTATTTTTCTACTCTAAATCTGATACAAAATAAGGCAATTAGAAGAAACATGTTAAAAAATTAATAGTAACAATAACTTTAATTTTGTATAGACTTTTCCAATTACAAAGAGTTTTACACAACATAACATTATAGCTGTATAGTGAAATAAGTTTGTGTATATAAAATCATATTAAAGCATCTTCAATATCAAAATTTAACATCAGTATATCTGATAAAAGATGATTGTTTAGATTTATGTTTGACAGAGTAGCATTTTGAAAAGAATAAAATTTTGAATTCAATTCTGTTAAATGGTCAAACACGTTAATTTTAATAATAGGAGTAATTTATACTTTATATAATCTATAAACATTATTCTTTTATAATTGTTTTTAGTTTATATTTTTCTTGTATGTTTGTAAATCTGTCTTTTGTTTTCCCTTTATTTGCTTGTTTGCATATTTCTTTTTCAGTTTTCCGAAAAAATTTAGCTATATTATGTTTTTATTTTTCTGGTTCATTGTCTTGGAAAGTATTCACCAGGATACAGGCTTCCAACAAGGCATATTCTGAGGAAGCATCCTAAGTCATTTTCACAAGTGGTTGAATTTCTGAGAAGTAATATCAGTCTTGAGCTACTTCCATTATATAACCTAGGATAAACCCTGTGCATTCTAGTTATTCAACAGGACTTGGTATTTCCTAAGCCTGTATCAAGATGCATTAACTGATTTAATAGTCAGAGTTCTTTAATTGTTTGTTATTTTGTTTTATTCATTTACATTTTTTACAAACAAGAAGAACACTATGATCTTCAGATCTTCAGACCAAAAAATAAGCAAAAACAATGTTGAATGCTATTGTGCAAAATGAAAGCCATCAATAAACAATATTTGCTGTGGGTTTTTGCTTGTACCTAAGTTGATGAAACAAAGGATATCTCTACTTTTGTGGAAGAGAGAGAACAATAATAGCAATAAACATAATGAATAAACACATTTTATAGCCTGATGGAAGATGAAGATGGTAATTCCTATAGATAAAGAACAGGGTCACAAAGATCAGGTTTATGGAGGAGAGTTGCTTGTAATTAGTCCTAGCCCTCGTCAAGGAGGTGAGGGAATGGTCAAGAAATTAGATGGGAGAGGAGTGTTCTAGAGATGGAGGGGAAAGGATGTAAATTTGAAAATGTGCCTGATGACTTTCAGGACCAGCTGAAGGGTAAATAGTGAAAATAGCAGGGAAAGGTGAGGTTAGAGAAAGATGGGTAGGAATACAATATGAAAGGTCATTGTCAACTTTAATTCTTATTTAGGTGTGAAAACTCTAACAGACTCTGAGTGACACAAAGTGGCTTTTAACAAGATCATTCTGGTTTCTCAGTTTACAGCACATTGCAGGAAGCTAGGGGCAGAGACAATCATTTAACGTTTTATCTACTTTTTTGTATAAATTTAGGGGGTACGAGTGCAGTTTTGTTACATGGGCATATTGTGTCACAGCGGAATCTAGGCTTTTAATTTACCTTCATCAGAACTGTATACATTGTATCCATAAGTAATTTCTCATCTCCTACCCTCCTCTCACCTTCCCACCCAGTGTTTGCTATTTCATACTATATGTCCATGTGTGCAATGATTTAGCTTCCTCTTATAAGTGATTACATGAAGTATTTCAATTTCTGTTTCTGAGTTATTTCACTTAAGATAATGGCTTCCAGGCCAGGCACGGCGGCTCACGCCTGTAATCCCAGCACTTTGGGAGGCCGAGGCGGGTGAATCATGAGGTCAGGAGATCGAGACCATCCTGGCTAACACGGTGAAACCCTATCTCTACTAAAAATACAAAAAACAAATTATCCAGGCGTGGTGGCATGTGCCTGTAGTCCCAGCTACGCCGGAGGCTGAGGCAGGAGAATGGCATGAACCTGGGAGGCGGAGCTTGCAGTGAGACAAGATCACGGCACTACACTCCAGCCTGGGCGACAGAGTGAGACTTCGTCTCAAAAAAAAAAAAAAAAAAAAAAAAAGATAATGCCTTACAGTTTCATCCATATTGCTGCTGCAAAAGACATGATTTCATGTTTTATGACTGAGTAGTATTCGTCTGTGTGTGTGTGTATTTCCCATTTTCTTTATCCAGTCATCTGTTTTAGACACTTAGGTTGATGCCATATCTTTGCTATTGTGAAGAGTCCTGCTGCAAACGTGAATGCAGGTATATTTTATACAATAATTTTTTTTAGCGGGGGGATTAGATACCCCATAGTGGGATGCTGGATTGAATGGTAGTTCTATCTCTAGTTATTTGATAAATCTCCATACTGTTTTCCATAGATGTTGTATTAATTTACATTCACACCAAATGTGTATAAGCATTCACTTTTCTCCACATCCTTGCCAAAATCTGTTATTTTCTAACTTTTTAGTAATAGCCATTCTGACTTATGTAAGATGGCTATCTTGTGGTTTTAATTTTCATTTCTCAGATGGTAAGTGGTGCTGAGCAATTTTTCATATGCTTGTTGTTGCACTGAGTTGCTTGTAGATTCTGGATGTTAGTATTTTTCAGTTGCATAGTTTAAAGATATGTTCACCCAATCTGTAGGTTGTCTATTTACTCTATGATTATAACTTTTGCTGTGCAGAGGCTTTTTAGTTTAATTCAGTCATATTTGTCTAGTTTTGTTTTGGTTTCATATGCTTTTGAGGTCCTAGTCATAAATTATTTACCTAGGCCAATGTCCAAAAGAGTTTTTCCTAGGTTTTCTTCTAGAATATTTATAGTTTCATTTGATTTTTGTTTTTAATTACGTTTATGCAGTGAATCACATTTATTGATTTGTATATGTTGAACCATCCTTGCATTCCTGGAGTAAAACCCACTTGATCATGGTGTATTTTATTTTATTTTATGATGTGCTGTTGGATACAGTGTTTTGTTGAGGATATTTGCATGTATGTTTACTAGAAATACTGATCTATATTATCTTTTTGTGTGTGTGTGTGTGTGTGTCCTTGTCTTGCTTTGTATCAGGGTGATATTGGCTTGGTATAATGTGCTGGAGAGGATTCTTTACTGCTCAATTTTCAAGAACGGTTTTAATAGGCCTGGTATCAGTTCTTTGTATGTTTGGTAGGACTCAAGTATGAATCCATCTGTTCCTGGGCTTTGTTTGTTTGTTTATATATTTGTTAGTACAGATTTAACCTCACTACTTACTATTTTGGTGCAAAAGTAATTGTGGTTTTGCCATTGAAAGAAACAGCAGAAACCACAATTACATTTGCACTAACCTAATATTCTATTTGGGATTTCTATTTCTTCCTTCTACATGCTTGAAAAGTTACATATTTCTGGAAATTCATTAATTTCCTCTAAGTTTTTTAGTTTATGAGTGTAGAGATATTCATAGTAGTCTCTGAGGATTTTTAGCATTTCTCTAGTATCAGTTGTAATGTCTTCTTTTTCATTTCTGATTGTGTCTATTTGAATCTTCTCTCATTGTTTCTCGCTTAATGTAGCTAGTGGTCTATCAGTTTTGTTCATCCTTTCAAATAATTTCTTGTGTTGTTGATTCTTTGTAATTTTTTTGGTTTCTTTTTCATTTAGTCCTGCTCTGATCTTTGCTATTTGTCTTCTACTAGCTATGAAGACACTTTTTAGTTTAAGTTCCATTTGTCTTGTTTTGTTTGTGTTACATTTGCTTTCCAGGTCTCAGTCATAAATTCTTTGCCTAGGCCAATGACCAGAACAGTTTTTCCTAGATTCTTTTCTAGTATTTTTATAGTTACAGGTCTTACATTTAAGTCTTTAATCCATCTTGAGTTATCTTTGTATATGTGAGATGTAGGGGTCCAGTTTTATCCTTCTAGACATGGCAGTCCAATATTCCCAGTACCGTTTATTGAATAGGGTGTAATTCTCCCAACATATGTTTTTGTCGACTTTGTCAAAGAGCAGTTGACTGTAGGTCTATGGCTTCATTTCTGGATTCTCTGTTCTAGTGATCTATATTTTGATTTTTATCTAGTGACAAAAATCTATGTGTTGATTTTATTTAGTGGTTAACACATGGATCTATGTGTTGATTTTTATACCAGTACCATGCTATTTTGGTTACTATACCTCATAGCATCATTTGAAGTCAGGTAATGTGATGCCTCTAGATTTTTTCTTTTTGCTTAGGATCGCTTCGGTTATTCAGGCTCCTTTCTGGTTCCATATTAATTTTAGGATTTTTTTTCCTAATTCTGTGAAACATTACATTGTAATTTTAATGGGAATTGCATTGAATCAGAAGACTGCTTTAGTCAGTGTGGTCATTTTAACGATACTGATTCTTCTGATTCATGAGCATGGGATATTTTTCCCATTTGTTCATGTCATCTAATCTGCCATCTTGAAGGGAAAAAAAAAACCCACAACATTTTAAATGAATAAAATGAAGGCTGAAATAACAATGTGAACTCAGGCAGATACTATGTGGGTTCTTAGGTTTTTATAAAATTGCAAAGTAAGTAAATTAATATCCAATGCTCCTAGATTTTCCATAACCTTTTTTCTTACTTCTCCTGTGCACATTTCTCTTTGTCAGACTTAATCTTAGCAAAGGATTCAATACCCACACATTAAGAATATTTCTTTGACTTTTTAATGAGTTACCTGCATTTTAACCTGGAGGAACCCACAGGAATAAATTTCAAATGGTTAAATGTCAAGCCTTAAAAACCATGAATAATTATTTTTGGCTAGGAATAAAATTTAGATCCGTGGTGAACCCCAGTAATTTCTGGCTCTTGGGATTTTTAATGGGAATAATTTATTATAAATGTTTCTCTCCATCAGAAAATTAAAAAATTTTAAAAGGCACAGTATTTTTGTTTGAGGCGAGTTGATAAGTCTACTAATTTCTCTAAAAATGTCATCGAATTATTACACAGAAACAAGTAGTTGCCAGGCAAGAATCAAGGCATTAGAGATAAAATCTGATTTACATACCGCACTTCTCTCTCCTCAATGTGCTCATAGTATAAATTGGAGGCAATAGGTAAGTAAACAATGGGAGGGTGTTGGAGAGAGATCTATCATAGAGGGAAGTATCTATGCTTATGACCGTTTATCTAAACATCATTCTCATCTTTGATTCTGTTTAATCATCACTACGATTCAACTCAATGCAGTTTCTTTTCTTATTTCTAAGAATAGTACTATATTCTGTCTGTCACACAGGCTCTTTCACCTGGAATTGTCACTAACCTCTCTCTTTTCCTCACTTTCAACTTTAAATTTGGTTCTAGAATAATTCCTTGGAATTTAATAAAAGCATATTCAATTAAATTGAATATAATATTAATGTATGGCCTTTTTTCAAAATTTTTTCTTCATATCATTTTAATGACTCCTGTATACTCATAAAAGTTTAAGTTTCAAAGCATTAGCTTGTAATTTTTTACACATACATACCCAAATATGAAGATAATTTTAATACCTTATATAAATAAATAATAAAATAAATAAAATATATTTATTTTCAATAAATGTAAATATTATCTTGATATTTATTTTGCACTCACAGTTATTACTGATTTAATAACTTGATATGAAACATCCTTGTTTTCAGAAGTGTACTGTGAGTTTGGATATTGCTGCTTTTTATTGCCACAAAAGAGTACATAAGCATTTAGCAGCCAGAGCATGAAGCCCATAGGGTGACTGTGGCAACAGAGTTTCTAATATAAAGTCGATGTAAAAGTATGCAGGAGAGAAATAGAAGAAAAATAAGAAAAATAATTAGGCCAGACCTCAAAAATAATGCTTATATAAATTAGATGTGATAAAGTGATAGGTAATAAAACTTCAAGGGCCAAACAAATTAAGAAATGAATGATGTGAAATGGAATCAGCTCAGGGGAGCAATGACAATGGATGGAACCAAAGAAAGAATACATTTATGAATTACAGAGAAAGAACTTTAGATTAATGAAGAGGAGATTTTATCATATCAACAGAGCAATTGAGATGAGTGGTCCATAAAGCTTTATGACTTTAGCATGAATTCTGGTGGAAAGAAATATTATAGTAGATCATGTTAATCTAATTTTACTATCCTTAAATGTAATGGCTTTTAAAATTGTTAGCTGAACAATTCAAGGTGGCAATTTGCTACATCAATATAAGCAGTCTCTTGTGACCTTTTAGGAATACTGAGCTACTGATTAGTTAAGTGACAGTGATCCTTTTTCAAAACAAATGCTATATAGAGATTTTACTAATTTCCCTACTTAATTAAGAAATGATATTTATTTCCCCTAAGGACAAAAATTTTCAATGGTACTGACGATCATATATTAGATGGTAAAGTGGATTACTGAAAGTTAGTGCCACTCTAATTAAAAATTTGATTCATCCCACCCAAGACAGAAATGGGGACTGAATTTTATATCCCATTGAATAAATTAATTCCACACACAAGTTTTAAGTTCCTAAAGTCTTTAACTTCAGCTGTGGCTCTAAAAAAATCAACATGACTCTAATTTATAAAATATAATAACGTTAAAATTTTCATATGATTGTGAGGATAGAGTTAGGTAATAAACTAAATAACTACATTGTTTAAAAATTTACAAATGCATAGGAGATCTGTAAACATTAAAATATGATTGAATTTTTCAATAGATAATTGTTCTGATGTTTGAAATGTTCTGGAAGTGTTCATATAGAGGAGTATGCTGTCCAATATGGTATTTACCAGCTATTGATGGCTACTGAGCACTTCAAATGTAGCTCATTTGATGAGGAAATTAATTTTTTAATTGTATTTACTTTCAATTAATTTAAATTTAAATACTCATATGGGGCTAGAAGCTCCAATATTGGGCAATGAAAGTCTAGAACTCACATCTTAAATTTGATTTGATTGTTGAATACATCAAGTTTGTAATTAATGTAGCTGCTGGGAGGTATTGCTACAATCAGACAATCAGAGGACTCAAAGTTTGCAATAGAGATTTAAGGTAAACTGTGAGCAAGACACTTTTAGTGATGAATTTCTAATTAATTTATTAATTTCAGTACTGAGTTCGCTCTATAATTAAGTCTTAATATGCATATTACTTAAAGTTAATTATAAATACTAATTCTTGGTTTTATCAATCACAAATGGGTGTAGGGGGTAGAAAATGTGAATAAAAATATTGGAGAGTTAATTTATATACTAGTCTTACACTGAGAGGTGAATAGTTTATGTTTGGTACAGATTAGCTACATTTAGTCAAAGCAAATATTGTAGAAAAATAAACATAGTGCCTCTTTTGAATATGTAAGTATTTTTAGTGACAATTTGATTATTCAAATTGATTATTTGAAAATTTGATTATTTGACAATTTGGATTTTAGAAATCTGTAGACCTGAAGCTTCCCTTGAACCAGGATTAATTAAAGACAATATTGCCAATTAACACCAGACAGTATAACTGGTGTTCTTGCTGTGCTTTTATGTATGTGCTCTAGGCAGAGCTTTTACTAGCTTACACATCTCTACGCAGATTTTTAAGCCTTTCAAGAATTTTGCCACTTCTGAGCTGAGCTCAGAGCCAAAGGAGAGCTGAATTTTAGCACTTTGGTGGAAGCAGCTTTCATGCCCCTCAGGCTTATACTTAAATCTGTCTTTACTCTAGGAAACTTCATAGAGCTCTCTTGGCCTCTGTGCCCCTTTAGTTTCTAAACTACAAGGGAACCCAGCCCTTTCATCCTTAAAAAAGACACTTTTAGGACTTTACTTATCATTTATTTATTTATTTTTTTAGAGGCAGAGTCTCACTCTGTCACCCAGGCTGGAGTGCAGTGGTGTGATCTTGGCTCACTGCAACCTCCACCTCCTGGGTTCAAGCGATTCTCCTGCCTCAGCCACACGAGTAGCTGGGACTACAGGCACCTCCATTAATAACTACTAGGACTTTAAGCCTTTTCCCCTAGAACAAAATCCTCTGGTGTTTTATTTTTCCTTGACTTAGATTAATCTCAATTTTACAGTTTACTACTCAAAGTGTTGGCCTTGGACTAGCAGCATAGCTTCACTCTGGAGCTTGTTAGGAGTGCAGAATATGAGGCCCCACACCAGACGTACTCAACGAGAATCAACATCTTATGATCCCCAGGTGTTTCATAGGTACATAAAAGTTTAAGTACTGTATGTAGCACACTTCTTCTTGTTTGCTCCATAAGAATACAAAGGTATTTTATTAATGGAATTTGTTTTTATAGTACTTCCTTAAATGAGCCAAACTTCATGATCATCAACCAGTATATGCCCCGTTTTTCCATTCCAGATCATTCTTTACATTTTATTTATTAACTTTTTTAAAAAAATTAAGACAAGTACAAGAAAGAGCCAGACATTCATTCTTCCCTTGTCTTAATGTAAAGTATAAGTGTGCATATTCATTGTCTCATCTGTCCTGCACTCCTCTCACTTTAGCAGCAACTCTGTAGAGGACAAGGATCATTTGTTTCTATAGGTAGGTATTTGGTACCTCTTAGAATATTATCTACCTGTCCTAGAAACCATATAGTCCATTCCAGTTTTAAATTTTTTTTTGAGACAGATATTCGCTCTTGTTTCCCAGGCTGTAGTGCAATGGCGCGATCTTGGCTCACTTCAACCTCCACCTTCCAGGTTCAAGCAATTCTCCTGCCTCAGTCCCCCGAGTAGCTGGGATTACAGGCATGTGCCACCACACCTGGCTAATTTTGTATTTTTAGTAGAGATGGGTTTCTCCATGCTTGTCAGGCTGGTCTTGAACTCCTGACCTCAGTTGATCCGCCTGCTTCAGCCTCCCAAAGTGTTGGGAATACAGGCATGAGCCCCCACACCTGGCCTTAAAATGTTTTCTTTAAAAACTTAAATTTTCAGCTGGGCACGGTGGCTCATACCTGTAATCCAAGCACTTTGGGAGGCCGACATGGGCAGATCACCTGAGGTTAGGAGTTCGAGACCAGCCTGACCAACATGGTGAATCCCTGTCTCTACAAAAACACAAAAATTAGCTGGATGTGTTAGGGTGCGCTTACAATCCCAGCTACTCAGGAGGCTGAGGCAGGAGAATCGCTTGAATCCGGGAGGCAGAGGTTGCAGTGAGCCGAGACTATGGCACTGTACTCCAGCCTGGGCAACAAGAGGGAAACTCCATCTCAAACAAAACAAAACAAAAACTTGATTTTCCTTATTATCTAAAAACACAGTAAGTTTTTCATGAAAATCTCAGTGCTAAGCATTGTGAGATTCACTAGCTATTCTCATGCAGATCTTAATGTAGGGACTAATGTCTATCAGATGCATTCCTAATCTGATTTTGTTAATAGTTTTTTTATTGACAGTAATTCATCAGAGATAAGTACTAGTTTCCTTTTACATGTAAAATATTCAGTATAATTGTATTGATTGAATTATAGCATCAACTATTTTAACAATAAATTATTCCTACTCTACACATCCACTGAGTACACATTATGAGTAACATTATGGTAACTGCTGAAATATAGAAGTAAAAATTAGAGTTCTTATTTTGTAGTAGCACAAAGACACTGAAAAGCAAGATAGAGCTTTCTTAGAAAAATATTAGCGTTAAAAATGTGACCATTACTTGTCGTGAACCTGGGAGGCGGAGCTTGCAGTGAGTCGACATCGTGCCACTGCACTCCAGTCCGGACGACAGAGCAAGACTCCATCTCAAAAAAAAAAAAAAAAAAAGCAGCCATTACTAAACAAAAAATATGAAAAAAAAGTACTAACAGGTAGCACACTTTGCTAGATTCAAAATAAATTTTATAGTATCTGATTCTAAACAGCATGTTATAGATGAATTCTTAAAGAGAATAGTTATATAAAAAATTCTAATTTATTTTGGAAAATTAAATTTCTGTCAAAACCTGTAATATTTATGAACAGACATACTTTTCTTTTAGCACGTCAACAGAGTTGTTAGGTTGTCTTAATCCTTCACTGGCTACCTGCACTTTCCCTTCAATTCGTCAGGCACCTTTGAGGCTGTCCTTATATCTTCATCAATTGTCTTCAACAAAATGGATGAGACTATGAATAGAAGCTCATTGTCATGAAAGTGATATGAGAAATAAATTTGCTGAGTAAAAGATTATAAATTCACATTAATTGATTGTTCAATTTTCTTGAAAACTGATGATTATTCTGATTTTAATATGTTTGGCAGATTTTAAATTATATACTTGTTTTTCAAAATAGAGCTTGGTAAGAGTGATATACCTTATCATATCTTTAAAAGAATTATTTTTTATTTTAAGTAATTAGTGTCCTAATCTAGCCATATATACAAGAATTCAGATAAAAAGTTTACTGGTTGAATTAATCTACACTATCATAGAACTGTGAAAACATGCAATAAAGTTAGTTTTTTTCTTTTTTTTTTTCAAGAAATGCTTTAGCAAACCAAAACTTGTTTTGCGATAGCCATCTCTCCTATATATCTCTAATAAAAGAGCACTTTTTCACATATTTTTAAGTAGCTATTCCATTATAAACACCTTCCCTCAATTTGAAATCAATTAATATTTTAAATACTGGAGAAAAGGCAAATCTAATATATATCTTCTAAAATATTTTTTACATAGTAGCAAAACCTCTGATTATGGCTTTAATTTTAAACCACTCCCATTTGCCTAACGCTGTCCTGATTCCAGGATTGAAATTTCCACATTCTAGGAAACTCCTCAGTTGCAGGGATACTTGGATGATTGGTCACCATCATGTACCATTTTATTGCCTTAATATTTTAATATTCAAAGTGTAAAAATGTGTCTTATACAGGAATTCAGAGCTCCTTGGGATGTCTATAGTGATAACTTTAACATTATTTGCTAATGCCTTCTGTTATTTTAAAACCCATTAATTAAGCACCTATTTTTAAAGCATTTTTTATGTTAAAAATTTCAATAGATCATGCTCTATGTCCTTAAGGAACTCATAGCTTAACCAAAGAGCAAGGCATACAAAATAATAAATTATAAATATGAGGTTGGAATTGTTAAAAGAAAGCAAATTTCTTCTAAACACAGAAGACTTAGACACTTACTTTACCTAGGAGAAATTAAGGAAGTCCTCCATTAGTCCTAATTAAAGAAGTTGTGGTATTTTAGGAGAAACAGGAGTTAACCAAAAGAGAGGAAAGGAGGAAAGGATTTCCAGGCTTGGTGGTATGAAAATGAAGGCTGTACTCAGTGTTTGGTGAGAAATTTAAAGCCATTATAATATAGGATGGATGATGTGGACATAATCATTTGGAAGAGCATTGATGACCAGAATTGAGCAATAGGATTTACCCTATAGGAGTGGTTTGAAAAAAATAAAAATAAAAAAAAAAAGTAAATGCTCAGGACTTAATCAGAATCACCTGGGAAGATTTTACAATTACAGACTGCTGCACCACTTCCAGCCCAATCCCCCAGAGAACCTGCTGAGCAGATCTGAGGTGCCAATTACTTCAGTTCATATATTTGTAATGATCTTCATAGGATTACGATGTCTGTGGAGATTTAGAACCTCCAGATTTCCCATAGAGAGCCAATAGTGGTAATTAAGCATTTGATTTACATGATTTTATTTGATTTAAAAAATAATTCTAGAACATTTTTGTAGAGACAGTAGGCCACTAAGATTTCTTTGAATGATGCAGTTGAGAGATAAGGAACTGTACTGAGGCTTTGTCAAGGGAGGAGAAGGTAGTGCTAAATACAATGAGAATTTTCAAAAGTTGAGTACAATCTATTTTTTCAGAGTGTGGCTGCCATTTGGTATCCTTGGGGGACTGGTTTTAGGACCTCTTTTCATACACCAAAATTTACAGATGCTTGAGTCCCTGATATAAAATGGTGTGGCACTTGCATATAACCTATGCATATACTCCTGTATACTTTAAATCATCTCTAGCTCACTTATAATACTTAATACAATGTTGGTGTCATGTGAATAGTTGTCATAATGTATTATTTAGGGAATAATGACAAGAAAAAGTCTGTACATGTTCAGTACAAACACAATTAAAAAAATATTTTCCATCTATGAATTCATGGATATGGAGGACCAACTCCATATGTTTTACGAATATTTGTTATACTAGTTTCTGATACAGTTGATATAGTTTGAATAGAGTACAAATACTGCACGTTGAATATCAGTATATAATAGGACAAATAATGAGACTATTTTTCTCATGTTTTCCACTGTATCTGTTTATTTCTTTTTTCATTATTGGATTGATTCATCCACATAGTAAGTAATTTTTAACTGCCCACCATGTGCCGAACAGTGCTAACTAGATGAAGTATTCATTTATTGTTTTTTGGAAAGGATTGAAAGCAACTTTAATTAAAATACAAATTATTGTATTTAGTATTCATTTATAATAAAAATGGTATATTTTCAAAAGGACCATACATTTCATACAGGTATTGACATTAAAGTGTTCTACTTACCTTTTCTTTGCGAAGAATTTAGAGGGGCATTTATAATATAAATTGTTACCACTTTTCTGAAGGACAACTTACCTGTGTAACAAAAACACTTAAAGTGTGCAACACATAGTGGATATTTATTTCTGCAGGTAGTTAGGTATAACAGTTGCTGAAGTAGTATTCTTACCACGTGTATGCTGTATTGTTGGACTGCCATGATAAAACAAATACTATGTCATTTGTGCATATCTTTTTTTTTTAACAAAACAAATTTATACAGGGATTTTAGGACCACAAAACAATTGCTGGTGTGTCATGAAGAAAATATATTGTGGAAATAATATGTTCCATCTGTGGTTTTCTTTTTTAAATGTACCACCTTAATACAGAACTGCATCTCTAAATCAAATAACCTTAAGCAATAAATAGAGACTTGCTTTCAAGTATTGGCAAATAAATGCCTTTTTTTTTTTTACAAGAACAATTTTTTCCTAGTTGTTCATGTGAATTTAGGATAAAAACATGCAGCAACAATAAATCCCTTGTGGTATTAATTCTTAAGGTTTATCACAAATAGTATTAGAGATAACAAAATATAGTCAACACAAGCTTCCAGTTTTTCCTGTTTATGGCTTAATAATAATTTGGACATAAAGATGCCTACTTTATCAGCATGTTATTGGCCCATATTTTATATTTGGGGAATGATAAGAATTTTTTCATAAATAATAGAAGATAATATTTTTATGTTATCATGTCTGTCATGTACTTTACTATATTATTGCTGAAGACAAAACACTTTCTTGAAGAAGTTTTATTTAATCTATACAGGATATTATATTTCAGTCTTCTTAGGTTTTCCAAAGTAAAATGAAACAATTTTTACATTTCTACAAGGATATATGAGCTTTTAACTTCGTAAAAGAGAAGGGTATACTACACATGATGTTCATCTGTTCAGCAGCAAAAAGGTCAAGAAGCTAAACAAATATGCCCTCAAGTCTGAAAGTGAAAAATAGATCTTGTAAGCAAGAGAGACACTAAGGTATTACATTAGAGATAGGTAGCATTTTGGAACCTTAGCTGCAACACACTATTTGTAAAATGTATTTCCCATACGTCCTGATGGTAATTGTTATGCATTTTAGTTACACAGATAGTGTTTTGATATGTACAGAAAAAAAATGTTTATCATTTAAAAGATACCTTATTCCATAATATATATAAAGAAAGTTGTTATTATAGTCATTACCAGGTACAAATCAGCAAAAAACACTTATGTCAATAGAGTTTCAAGAAGTACTTTAATATGAAATGTTTTAACATTATTCTGATTTTTAAAAATTGATACATTTGTTGAGTGGTATTTAAATTTTGTGATATTATTTAATTGTAGAGGCAATGAGTTATAGAGATGTCGAAAACAAACTCTTTAAGAATTGTGAATATACAACTATGATTTCTTAAAGTTTGAGACTTTATAAAAGCAGTGGTTCCAAAAAAAGTGCATAAATACACATTTACACGTATGTTTACACATAACTTGGTGGGAATCACAGATGAGTTGTAATTTACCCATGACATCAATAAATACATTGTATCTTATCCATGACACCAATTTGGAACCTAGAATAGAAACTTCTATAAAAGTATAGAAGATTTGTTTTACTTCCTTATATACAAGTAGAGTATTGATCCTAATTTTGATTTATTAAAGAGGATAACTTTGTGGTTTAAGATTATATTTTGATGGTGAATAATCATCAATATTAATAAAATAAATGAAAATATGAATCTTGACTTTAAAATTTCTGTACTTCTCATAAAACTTCTGAGTATGTATGAAAAAATGTTTGGTTTTTCATGATAAAAGTTTTGTGAATATCAAGTTTGAAATATATTACAGACATTTGCTACTTTGTCTCCTCACCTTGGTTCTGTGAAAGAATCATCTGGAAAATAACTTGGAAAGTTTACCTTCCTAGTATAAGGAGGGGAATAGTGAAATACGACAATTAGAAAACTTGTGTTTTATTGCTATTCTGGGCACTAACTATTATTATTATTGTTACGTTTTTGTCTGATAACAACCTACATTTTTTCCAGATCTCCATCTATGCATTCACAAGGCACACATGTCTTTCAAGATTATCCTAAATATAACTTTTATCTGAACTCCCTCTGTTTTATATTTCACTTTCATTCTTCAAGAGACCAATTTCCTGCATGAACTTGTCCTAGATGAAGCTCATTTTCATAAATGTTATTTTCTTTTGTAATTAGACTGTATACGGGCATCTAATCACTAGCAAAACTGCAGCACTTGAAAACCAAGATTATACTGTAGCATTTGACTAGCTTTAGAAAATATAGTAGATTTTTATTGGATAATGAATAACTTACTGGTTGAGAGAGAAAATTGTCTGTATGTTAACAAAAAAGAAGTATAAAACGAAGAAACGTTTCACTAAGTCACTCAGTATACCAGAGACAATAAATAAAGTGAAACGACTCAAATTCTATAAAAGGAAATTCCTCTTCCCTCACAAAAAATGACTACTATTTTTTCAAACATTCATTAGAAGTGGATAGTACGTTCTACTTGTAAGTACAGAATTATTTTAAAAATTATAATTAGCAAGTCTGCTAGTCATTCATAGCATACTGCATTTGAACAGTGTTTGAAAAGCAGAAATGGTTTGGTCCAAAATATATTGTAGTTAATATACATGTGAATTACATTAGTTTTATTAAAACAACAATGAATTAACATTTGCAAATCGATCTTTGGTTTATTTTAGCATCCAAATATGTGTTGTATTTTCTATCCACTTTGCATTAAACAATTGTACATATTTAATAATGTATAAAGAGATAAAATGTAAACATATTTTCCCCAATGTTAAACAGTCATGCATTAGATTGTGCATGGACATTTTTACTCAATAGTCTATTGGGTAAAATGCTTGGTAATTATTTCCTTAGCTATATGCAGACTTTATAAAAGTGTAAATTTCCCTCTTATACTATGTTTTTAACACTTTAAAAGAAACATATATCTATGTTCTTCAAATATTATTTCTCTAATCTTTGGAAATATAATTTTTTTACTTTTATTTCTGGTTTGGAGTGTAAGTGCAGGTTTGTTACATAGGTAAACTTGTGTCATGGGGGACTGTTGTACAGATTATTTCATCACCCCGGTATTAAGCCTAGTAATCATTAGTTACTTTTCCTGATCCTCTCCCTTCTCCCACCCACCGCATTCTGATAGGCCCTAGTGTATGTTGTTCCCCTGTATGTGTTTGTGTGTTCTTATCATTTAGTTCCCACTTGTAAGTGTGAACATGCAGTATTTGATTTTCTGTTCCTATATTAGTTTGCTAAGGATAATTGCCTCCAGCTTATCCATGTTCTTGCAAAAGACACGGTCTCATTCTTTTTTTATGGCTGCATAGTATTCTATGGTATATCTGAACTACATTTTTTTAAATCCAGTCTATCATTGATGGGTGTTTGTGTTGATTCTATGTCTTTGCTATTATAAGTAGTGCTGCTATGAATATGTGTACATGAGTCTTTAAAATAGAATGATTTATATTCCTTTGCATATGTATTAGTCTATCTTCATGTTGCTATAAAGAACTTCCCCAGACTGGGTAATATAAAGGAAACAGATTCAATTGACTCACAGTCCAGCATGGCTGAAGAGTCCCCATGAAACTTACAATCATGGCCGAAGTTGAAGGGGAAGCAAGGCACCTCTTCGCAAGGTGGCAGGAAGGAGTAGTGCTGAGCGAAGGGGGAAGAGTCCCTTATTAAACCATCAGATCTCATGAGAACTTACTCAGAATAATGAGAACAGCAAGGGGGAAACCGCCCCCATTATTCAGTTATCTTCACTTGGTCTCTCCCTTGACACATGGGGATTATGTCCTATTAGCCTTATTCTAATGCCTAACAGCATAGATTAGTTCTACCATTTTTGTTGTTTCAAAACATCTAGATGTCTATGCTGTTAGACATTAGAATAGGGCTTACTTGGGGCAAGTATAATGACTGGAAGGCACAAAGAGCCTCAAGGATGGTCAAATGTTCTGGTTTTTCATCTGGGTGCTGGCTATGCTAGTGTACTTATTTTGTGAAAATACTATTAGCTTTACAATATGAATTTTAAAATTGTACTTTGGGGATTATGGGAATTGCAATTCAAGATGAGGTTTTGGGTGAGAACACAAAGCCTAACCATATCAGGGTAGTACCCAGAAATGGGATTGCTGGGCCAAATGTTATTTCTGCTTTTAGATTTTTGAGGGATCAACCCACTACTCTTTTCCATAACAGTGGAACTAATTTACACTCCCACCTACAATGTATAAGTGTTCCTTTACTGCATAGCGTGGCCAGCATCTGTTATTTCTGACTTTTTAATAGTAGCCATTCTGTCTGGTGTGAGATGGTATCTCATTCTGGTTTTGATTTGCATTTCTCTAATGATCAGTGATGTTCAGCGTTTTTTCATATGATTGTTGGCCACATGTATGTCTTCTTATGAAACGTATCTGTTTATGTCCTTTGCCCAATTTTTAATGGGGTTATTTGTTTTTATTTTTGGTAACTTTGTTTAAGTTTCTTATAGATGCTGGATATTAGACCTTTATCAGATGCATACTTTGCAAATATTTTCTCCCATTCTATAACTTATTTGCTCACTCTCTTAATAGTTTTCTTTGCGATGCGTAAACTCTTTAGTGTAATTAGATCCCATTTGTCAATTTTAGCTTTTGTTGCAACTGCTTTTGGTGTCTTTGTCGTGAAATTTTTCCTGTGCCTATGTCCTAAATGGTATTGCCTAAGCTGTCTTTAAGAGTGTTTATAGTGTTGTGTTTTACATTTAAGACTTTAATACATAATGAGTTAATTTTTATACATGGTATAAGGAAGGGTTCCAGTTTCAATATTCTGCATATGGCTAGCCAGTTATCCCAATTTATTATTTTGAAGCTAGAAAACGATCATTGTCTCTGTAATTTTAGAGAAACCGACACTGTTTTTAAATTATACTTTAAGATTTAGGGTATATGTGCACAACTTAAAGGTTAGTTACATATGTATACACGTGCCATGTTGGTGTGCTGAACCCATTAACTCGTCATTTAACATTAGGTATATCTCCTAATGCTATGCCTCCCCCCAGCCCCCACCCCACAACAGGCCCTCGTGTGTGATGTTCCCCTTCCTGTGTCCATGTGTTCTCATTATTCAATTCCCACCTATGAGTGAGAACATGTGGTGTTTGGTTTTTTGTCCTTGTGATAGTTTGCTGAGAATGCTGGTTTCCAGCTTCATCCATGTCCCTACAAAGGATATGAACTCGTCATTTTTTATAGCTGCATAGTATTCCATGGTGTATATGTGCCACATTTTCTTAATCCAGTCTATCATTGTTGGACATTTGGGTTGGTTCCAAGTTTTGCTGTTGTGAATAGTGCCGCAATAAACATAGCTGTGTGTGTGTGTCTTTATAGCAGCATGATTTATAATCCTTTGGGTATATACCCAGTAATGGGATGGCTGGGTCAAATGGTAATTCTAGTTCTTAGATCCCTGAAGAATCGCCACACTGACTTCCACAATGGTTGAACTAGTTAACAGTCCCACCAACAGTGTAAAAGTGTTCCTATTTCTCCACATCCTCTCCAGCACCTGTTGTTTCCTGACATTTTAATGATCACCATTCTAACTGGTGTGAGATGGTATCTCATTGTGGTTTTGATTTGCATTTCTCTGACCAGTGATGATGAGCATTTTTTCATGTGTCTTTTGGCGGAATAAATGTCTTCTTTTGAGAAGTGTCTGTTCATATCCTTCGCCCACGTGGTGATGGGGTTGTTTGTTTTTTTCTTGTAAATTTTTTTGAGTTCATTGTAGATTCTGGATATTAGCCCTTTGTCAGATGAGTAGATTGCAAAAATTTTCTCCCATTCTGTAGGTTGCCTGTTCACTCTGATGGTAGTTTCTTTTGCTGTGCAGAAGCCCTTTAGTTTAATTAGATCCCATTTGTCAATTTTGGCTTTTGTTGCCATTGCTTTTGGTGTTCTAGACATGAAGTCCTTGCCCATGTCTGTGTCCTGAATGGTATTGCATAGGTTTTCGTCTAGGGTTTTTATGGTTTTAGGTCTAACGTTTAAGTCTTTAATCGATCTTGAATTAATTTTTGTATAAGATGTAAGGAAGGGATCCATTTTGAGCTTTCTACATATGGCTAGCCAGTTTTCCCAGCATCATTTATAAATAGGGAATCCTTTCCTCTTTCTTGTTTTTGTCAAAGATCAGATAGTTGTAGATATGTGGCATTATTTCTGAGGACTCTCTTCTGTACCATTGGTGTTTATCTCTGTTTTGGTACCAGTACCATGCTGTTTTGGTTACTGTACCCTTGTAGTATAGTTTGAAGTCAGGTAGCGTGATGCCTCCAGCTTTGTTCTTTTGGCTTAGGATTGACATGGCAATTCAGGCTCTTTTTTGGTTCCATGTGAGCTTTAAAGTAGTTTTTTTCCAGTTCTGTGAAGAAAGTCATTGGTAGCTTAATGGGGATGGCATTGAAACTATAAATTACCTTGGGCAGTATGGCCATTTTCACAATATTGATTCTTCCTACCCATGAGCATGGAATGTTCTTCCATTTGTTTGTATCCTCTTTTATTTCATTGAGCACTGGTTTGTAGTTCTCCTTGAAGAGGTCCTTCACATCCCTTGTAAGTTGGTTTCCTAGGTATTTTATTCTCTTTGAAGCAATTGTGAGTGGGAGTTCACTCATGATTTGGCTCTCTGTTTGTCTGTTATTGGTGTATAAGAATGATTGTTATTTTTGCACATTGATTTTGTATCCTGAGACTTTGATGAGGTTGCCTATCAGCTTAAGGATATATTGGGCTGAGACGATGGGATTTTCTAGATATACAATCATGTCATCTGCAAACAGGGACAATTTGACTTCCTCTTTTCCTAATTGAATGCCCTTTATTTCCTTCTCCTACCTGATTGCCCTGGCCAGAACTTCCAACACTATGTTGAATAGGAGTGGTGAGAGAGGGCATCCCTGTCTTGTACCAGTTTTCAAAGGGAATGCTTCCAGTTTTTGCCCACTCAGTATGATATTGGCTGTGGGTTTGTCATAGATAGCTCTTATTATTTTGAGATATGTCCCATCAATACCGAATTTATGGAGAGTTTTTAGCATGAAGGGTTGTTGAATTTTGTCAAAGGCCTTTCTGCATCTATTGAGATAATCATGTGGTTTTTGTCGTTGGTTCTGCTTATATGCTGGATTACATTTACTGATTTGTGTATATTGAACCAGCCTTGCATCCCAGGGATGAAGCCCACTGGATCATGGTGGATAAGCTTTTTGATGTGCTGCTGGATTTGGTTTGCCAGTATTTTATTGAGGATTTTTGCATTGATGTTCATGAGGGATATTGGTCTAAAATTCTCTTTTATTGTTGTGTCTGTGCCAGACTTTGGTATCAGGATGATGCTGGCCTCATAAAATGAGTTAGGGAAGATTCCCTCTTTTTCTATTGATTGTAATACTTTCAGAAGGAATGGTACCAGTTCCTCCTTGTACCTCTGGTAGAATTCAGCTGTGAATCCCTCTGGTCCTGGACTTTTTTTGGTTAGTAAGCTATTAATTATTGCCTCAATTTCAGATCCTGTTATTGGCCCATTCAGAGATTCAACTTCTTCCTGGTTTAGTCTTGGAAGAGTGTATGTGTTGAGGAATTTATCCATTTTTTCTAGATTTTCTAGTTTATTTGTGTAGAGGTGTTTATACTATTCTCTGATGGTGGTTTGTATTTCTTTGGGATCAGTGGTGATATCCCCTTTATCATTTTTTATTGCATCTATTTGATTCTTCTCTCATTTCTTCTTTATTAGTCTTGGTAGCTGTCTATCAATTTTGTTTATCATTTCAAAAAACCAGCTCCTGGATTCATTGATTTTTTTAAAGGGTTTTTTGTGTCTCTATTTCCTTCAGTTCTGCTCTGATCTTAGTTATTTCTTGCCTTCTGCTAACTTTTGAATGTGTTTGCCTTGCTTCTCTAGTTCTTTTAATTGTGATGTTAGGGTGTCAATTTTAGATCTTTCCTGCTTTCTCTAGTGGGCATTTAGTGCTATAAGTTTCCCTCTACACACTGCTTTGAATGTGTCCCAGAGATTCTGGTATGTTGTGTCTTTGTTCTCATTGGTTTCAAAGAACATCTTTATTTCTGCCTTCATTTTGTTATGTACCCAGTAGTCATTCAGGAGCAGGTTGTTCAATTTCCATGTAGTTGAGCGGTTTTGAGTGAGTTTCTTAATCCTGAGTTCTAGTTTGATTGCACTGTGGTCTGAGAGACAGTTTGTTATAATTTCTGTTCTGTTACATTTGCTGAGGAGTGCTTTACTTCCAAGTATGTGGTCAATTTTGGAATAGGTGTGGTGTGGTGCTGAGAAGAATGTATATTCTGTTGATTTGGGGTGGAGAGTTCTGTAGATGTGTATTAGGTCCGCTTGGTGCAGAGCTGAGTTCAATTCGATGTCCTTGTTAACTTTCTGTCTCATTGATCTGTCTAATGTTGACAGTGGGGTGTTAAAGTCTTCCGTTATTATTGTGTGGGAGTGTAAGTCTCTTTGTAGGTCCAAGGACTTGCTTTATGAATCTGGGTGCTCCTGTATTGGGTGCATATGTATTTAGGATAGTTAGCTCTTCTTGTTGAATTGATCTCTTTACCATTATATAATGGCCTTCTTTGTCTCTTTTGATCTTTGTTGGTTTAAAGTCTGTTTTATCAGAGACTAGGACTGCAACCCTTGCCTTTTTTTGTTTTCCATTTGCTTGGTAGATCTTCCTCCATCCCTTTATTTTGAGCCTGTGTGTATCTCTGCACGTGAGATAGGTTTCCTGAATACAGCACACTGATGGGTCTTGACTCTTTATCCAATTTGCCAGACTGTGTGTTTTAATTGGAGCATTTATCCCATTTACATTTAAAATTCATATTGTTATGTGTGAATTTGATCCTGTCATTATGATGTTAGCTGGTTATTTTGCTCATTAGTTGATGCAGTTTCTTCCTAGCCTCAATGGTCTTTACAATTTGGCATGTTTTTGCAGTGGCTGGTACCAGTTGTCCCTTTCTATGTTTAGTGCTTCCTTCAGGAGCTCTTTTAGGGCAGGCCTGGTGTTGACAAAATCTCTCAGCATTTGCTTGTCTGTAAAGGATTTTATTTCTTCTTCACTTATGAGGCTTAGTTTGGCTGGATATGAAATTCTGGGTTGAAAATTCTTTTCTTTAAGAATGTTGAATATTGGCCCCCACTCTCTTCTGGCTTGTAGAGTTTCTGCGGAGAGATCAGCTGTTATTCTGATGGACTTCCCTTTGTGGGTAACTCGACCTTTCTCTCTGGCTACCCTTAACATTTTTTCCTTCATTTTAATTTTGGTGAATCTGACAATTATGTGTCTTGGAGTTGCTCTTCTCAAGGATTATCTTTGTGGTGTTCTCTGTATTTCCTAAATTTGAATGTTGGTCTGCCTTGCTAGATTGGGGAAGTTCTCCTGGATAATATCCTGCAGAGTGTTTTCCAACTTGGTTCCATTCTCCCAGTCACTTTCAGGTACACCAATCAGACGTAGATTTGGTCTTTTCACATAGTCCCATATTTCTTGGAGGCTTTGTTCATTTCTTTTTATTCTTTTTTTCTCTAAACTTCTCTTTTAGCTTCATTTCATTCATTTCATCTTTCATCACTGATACCCTTTCTTCCAGTTGATCGCGTCGGCTACTGAGGCTTGTACATTCATCATGTAGTTCTCATGCCATGGTTTTCAGCTTCATCAGGTCCTTTAAGGACTTCTCTGCATTGGTTATTCTAGTTAGCCATTTGTTTAAGTTTTTTTTAAGGTTTTTAACTTCTTTACCGTGGGTTCGAACTTCCTCCTTTAGTGCAGAGTAGTTTGATCGTCTGAAGCTTTCTTCTCTCAACTCGTCAAAGTCATTCTCCATCCAGCTTTGTTCCATTGCTGTTGAGGAGCTGTGTTCCTTTGAAGGAGGAGAGGCGCTCTGATTTTTAGAGTTTCCAGTTTTTCTGCTGTTTTTTCCTCATCTTTGTGGTTTTATCTACCTTTGGTCTTTGATCATGGTGACATACAGATGGGATTTTGGTGTGGAAGTCCTTTCTGTTTGTTAGTGTTCCTTCTAACAGTCAGGACCCTCAGCTGCAGGTCTGTTGGAGTTTGCTGGAGGTCCACTCCAGACCCTGTTTACCTGAGTATCAGCAATGGAGGCTGCAGAACAGCGGCTATTGGTGAACAGCAAATGTTGCTGCCTGATTGTTCCTCTGGAAGTTTTGTCTCAGAGGAGTACCTGGCCGTGTGAGGTGTCAGTCTGCCCCTACTGGGGAATGCCACCCAGTTAGGCTACTCAGGGGTCAGGGACCCACTTGAGGAGGCAGTCTGTCTGTTCTCAGATCTCCAACTGCATGCTGGGAGAACCGCTACTCTCTTCAAAGCTGTCATACGGGTACATTTAAGTCTGCAGAGTTTTCTGCTGCCTTTTGTATGGCTATGCCCTGCCCCCAGAGGTGGAGTCTACAGAGGCAGGCCGGCCTCCTTGAGCTTTGGTGGGCTCCACCCAGTTCAAGCTTCCTGGCCACTTTGTTTACCTACTCAAGCCTGGGCAATTGTGGGAGCCCCTCCCTCAGCCTTGCTGCTGCCTTGCAGTTTGATCTCAGACTGCTGTGCTAGCAATGAGTGAGGCTCCGTGGGTGTAGGACCCTCTGAGCCAGGTGCGGGATATAATCTCGTGGTGTGCCGCTTGCTAAGACAGTTGGAAAAGCACAGTATTACGATGGGAGTGACCCAATTTTCCAGGTGCCATCGTCACCCCTTTCTTTGACTAGGAAAGGGAATTCCCTGACCCCTTGCGCTTCCCTGGTGAGGCAATGACTCACCCTGCTTCGGCTCATGTTTGGTGCACTGCACCCTCTGTCCTGCACCCACTGTCCGACAATCCCCAGTGAGATGAACCCAGTACCTCAGTTGGAAATGCAGAAATCACCCATCCTCTGTGTCGCTCATGCTGGGAGCTGTAGACTGGTGCTGTTCCTATTCAGCCATCTCTCCACCCCCCCAGAAACTGACACTTAACTTTTAGGCTCATTTAATGTAAAAATGAACTGCTCTGAACTGGTTGTCAATTCAAATATGGTTTTAATATGAAATTACAAAAACATAAGAATATTTCTAAGAAGAAACTCACTATGTAATAGTCCAAAATCTAAAAACAACTCAAGTATACATCAGCAGGAGGATAAATATATAAATTATATAATAACCACTTAGTGAAATACTGCAAATCAATGAAAATGAATCACCACTATACAAAAGATGGATGAATCTCACAAACGTCATGCTGAATGAAAGAAGCCAGAAACAAAGCGATGCTTATTTTTTGATTTCATTCAAAACATCAGAAATGGCAGAACTAATCTATGCTGTTAGACGTTAGAATAGGGCTTACTTGGGGGAAGAATAATGGACTGGAAGGAGACACAACGGAGGCTCTAGGACGCTGAAATATTCTGCTGTTTGTTCTGTGCACTTGCTATGCTGTTGTAATTATTTTGTGAAAATACCATTAAACTTTACATATGAATTTTGTTCTTTTTTGCATGTGCATTATACCTCAATAAAAAAGTTGTTTTAAAACTGGAATATATCACCATTTTCTACCATGCATCATTTAAACATAATTTTCATGAAATGCAATAGTGTTATATAATCACTATGTAGTAATCTTAATGCATATTGGTTTAAATTTGCATATTTTAAGTTTTGAAAGGATAACTGTCAGGAAATTGAAGTATATACTATCAGTGATGTTTGTAAGTTTTTTATCATTTTTGTTAGTGAAGAACTAACATGTTTATGCTGATAATTGAATATACTGTTTTATATTACAATGTGAAATCTACTTTCAGAAAACTTGATATGGAATGAATGTTTCCTTTAAAGCTTTTCAGAATTAAAATATTGCTTTATTGTTGTAATCTTTTAAAAAGATGCAAAACAATTAACATCAGATTTTTCATAAAGATACAAATTCAAGTGAATAGTACTAATACCATATTTAATTAGAAATCAATAAAAAAATCACTTTATTCTTTATAAATACTTTAGAATACTTATTTCTATTCTGCCATTTTCTTTGTTTTATTTTCTGTTATAAAAGCCAACCAAAAATGACAAAAATATACCAGGAAAGATAAACTGCGACGTAACTGGGGAGTAGATACATTATACACATACTACTTTGGCAATATAAAAGGAGGAAATAATCTGTTATTACAGATAGCTCCATGAATATTCACCAGTGAAGCACATAATGATCATTTCCACAGTAGCAATACAGAGACTGCGACATTGAAATTATTCAGTCCTCCTGTAAACTAGTTCAACCATTGTGGAAGTCAGTGAGGCAATTCCTCAGGGATCTAGAACTAGAAATACCATTTGACCCAGCAATCTGATTACTGGGTATATACCCAAAGGATTATAAATCATGCTGCTATAAAGACACATGCACACGTATGTTTATTGCGGCACTATTCACAATAGCAAAGACTTGGAACCAACCCATATGTCCAACAATGATAGACTGGATTAAGAAAATGTGGCACATATACACCATGGAATACTATGCAGCCATAAAAAAGGATAAGTTCGTGTCCTTTGTAGGGACATGGATGAAGCTGGAAACCATCATTCTCAGCAAACTATCACAAGGACAAAAAACCAAACACCACATGTTCTCACTCACAGGTGGGAATTGAACAATGACAACACATGGACACAGGAAGGGGAACATCACACTCTGGGGACTGTTGTGTGTTGGGAGGAGTGGGGAGGGATAGCATTAGGAGAAATAGCTAATGTTAAATGACGAGTTAATGGGTTCAGCACACCAGCATGGCACATGTATACATATGTAACTAACCTGCACATTGTGCACATGTACCCTAAAACTTAAAGTATAATTAAAAAAAAAAAAGAAATTATTCGGTCCTCTAAAGTGAGGGTCTGCTGATTTTTCCATGGATGTGTAAGAAATCGTCACCATTTCTGAAATTAAGTTTTGTTTGTTAAGAAGAAACAGCCTAACTTTTTAGATAGTTTTAAAAATTATCTTCCAAAACACTGCTGCATGGACAAACCATAGAGCACTAAATCTTGTAGATAGATCGGTCCATGCCATGCTGTTGCATGAGGTTATATTTTTCTAGTTACATTCACTGCATCATAGCCTGGAGAACAAAAACACAGCATGACAACATATGCCATGTCTCTAAACCATGCATCTTTAAGAGTCTGATATTCAGCCTTTCATTCATTTACCTTCCTTGTTAGCCTTTCATTTAACACTGATTAAAATACTTCAAATGATTAATTATTGCACATTTTTGCCTGATTTATCACAGCTCAGCAATAAGATCCTTTGT
The DNA here is from genome assembly GCF_000001405.40 of Homo sapiens. Lineage (NCBI taxonomy): Eukaryota > Metazoa > Chordata > Mammalia > Primates > Hominidae > Homo > Homo sapiens. Next base: position 92,924,861 of record NC_000004.12, read on the forward strand.
TGTAGCTTCATCATATTAATGTGGAAGCTGTTAATGTGAGATAATATTACAAACTCTTCTGTTTCTGACCTGCTTTTCTTAGTTCCTATCTTCTTTACCTGAGATCCATCACTTAAAACAGCCTTTCCCCAAAGGTAAGCAGCCCTCTTTAAGAGTCTTGCCACATTTTAACATATGAATTAATCTAAGCAAGGGTCCAGAATAAAATAACACGTGGTGTCTTTGCTCAACTAGGTTAGTTTTCCACACCTTCCTGTAACATTATCAGCAGAAGTCATTCACACATAAAGCAACGACCTCAAAATTAAAAAGTTACTTTGGATAAAATTCATTTTATTGTGTAATCTGGGTATTCCTTCTCTGTCTCTCCTTTCACCCCCACCATGGGACTTTAAAAAAGTAAGTTGTAATGCTGAGATTTCTGTGTCAAGGTTAAAGAGTGAAGAGAATCATTTCAGAGATTAGAGGTGTCACTCATGTCAAGAAACATTATAAGAGATCTCTGGAGGCATGTACCAACATATTAAATTACTACATGGAAAAATAAATTGAAAAAGAAAAGCCCTGAAGTAATGAAAGCTGACTACATTTTCAAAGCAACTACTATTTTAAGAAGAGTATATTTCCTTTATCCACAAACAAATACAAGGCAAAAACTGGGTGTGTAACAATATATGATCTTCTTTATGATATTTACATGTTGGTTGTGTCACCCAAACTAGATCAAATGATTTTTAAAATAACATTTATATTGGTAAACTCTTTCAAAATAAATGTAGAAATTTTCTGTGGCTGGCTTCTAGGTGTGGAATTAGGGAAGCAACATGTATTAACTTGAAATTCCTACCCAGGCATTCACTTGAAAGGTACCCAAAGTTATATTTGATAGTAACATAGTTTTAAAAGCTTCTGCTTTCTGTTTTAACTGATTTGCTTCTACACCACTCCATGGACATCATTAAGCCTTTTTATTTAGAATTATGACATTGCTTTTATTTCATTAATTTCACTAGCACAGGTTCAAAGGGACAAGAGTTAGTTTTAGATGTAATATATAATGTAATTAAAAAGTTCCCATCATTTGTGTGTTTTTGTAGTCACTACTTACTAATGTAAGTAGTCTGCACATTCCAATTCTGTTTACTACAGAATTAAAGTTGCAACATCAACAGTTGTCTGAGACTGTATGTTTTATCTTGAACAAGGAAAATAAGGTTTTAATAGTTCTGATTGTTATTAAAAGCCTTTATGAAGTAACATTTATAAAACACTTCTAATGGTGGAGATTAATTTTGCCCCTCAGGTATTTTGGTCCAAGTAAATAAGAAGCGACTGATGGTCCCACTAAACAAAATAACTACAAGGAAAATGCAGGAATTTCTTTTCTTCTTGTTAATGAATATTTTGAAGATGGTTAATTTACGGTTATGTAGACATTCTGCAATCAGCTAAGATGTTAAGTCACATGTTTTATATCTATGAAAGCTACTATTTTGTAGTGGTGACAATTTGTTGTGTGAATCAGTATGTACAATGAAGAGTGACCCATTACATACAATAGAAAGTGGTGGTAGTTCACCATAGAAATTATCTGTTGCTATAATAAATTTCACATATTCTTTGATTTTTAATGATTTCTAAACAAGGCATATAAATATGCTATATACATCATATTACCAAAGACATCCTTTCAAGTATAACTGCTGAAAAAGAGTCTATTGAATGAGTTAGTAAATAAATGATTATTTATTTGCAAGCCTTTTGGTAAAATAGCGTTATTTACACAATGAATTTCATTGTTTTGGCATTGTAACTGTGTCTTATTCTGTTTTGTGCTGCTAAAAGAGAACATCTGAGACTGGGTAATTTATAGAGAACAGTTCTGGAAGCTGGGAAGTCCGAGATTGAGAGACCACACCTGGTGAGGGTGTTCTTGCAGCATCATATCATGGCAGAAGGCATAACATGAGTTAAGGAGCAATAACTAACTCATTCCCATGATAATGGCATTAATCCATTCATAAGGGCAGAGTCCTCATAACCTAATCACTTCTTAAAAGTTCCACTCTCAACTGTTGCACTGGGGACTAAGTTCAACACATGAACTTTAGGAGACACATTTAAAACATGGAAGATTATATCCCAACCAGCTCTCCTTTAAAACCCCCAAATCTGATACTTACCTGATTGATAAGAGTATTTAAAATAATAAAATGAGACAACATCTTTAAAACATCTTTCTAGTATTATGAACTTGGAGATAAACCAATATAGTCCAAGTTGATTATAGCTCATATTCCAGTATCAACATGTTCCCAGCACTAAAGCAATTATTTTCTACAGTTAAAGAGAAGTTTTATTTCATAAGAGAAATCCAAAGAGTAATACCCCTATCTTAGTTGTTGAGGGATCCTGTAAAGAACTGTGAATCTGATGTTTTATCTTACTTGCTATAATAGCTTACAGGTTAGCCTGCCAGTTCTATGGATGCTGGCAGAACTTCTTGGGACAAAGAGAAAATATTTTATTTTTCACAGGAATCATAGCCAGTGTGTCAGCATTTTCTTGTGTTTGTGCCCAAGTTCCAATTCCCACAGGGTAGCACAAAGAGAGCTAGATGCTACCTGTACACAGTTGGGTTGCAATAACAAAAAAAGAGAAACCTGATCCTAGGTACAAAAAATCATTTATAATGGGTAGTAAGCATGTCTGGACTTAGTTTACTGGACAGTAACCATGCCTGACCTTTGCTCTAGTGAGAATCACTATCTATATCTTCAGTGTTTTTTGCTATACAGATTTGAGATCCTTTATCCAAAAGACAGAGCCATCAAGAGTTGTCTGAGAGTGTGCATTTAATTTTGAACACGGAAAATAAGGTTTTAATGTTGCAGATTCTTATGGAGATATTTACAAGCCTTTTTGTGAAGTAATATTTATACAACACTTCTCAATGATGAGGATTAATTGAAAAATCTGAACGATTTCAGATTTTTGCATTTTTTTGGATGTTAGAATGTTTGCATTATACTTACCAGTTGAGGATCTCAAATCTGAAAATCCAAAATCCAAAATGCTTCAGTGCTAATATTCTTTGGATGCCATGTTGGTGCTCAAAATGTTTCAAATTTTACAGCATTTCAGATTTGGGTTTTTGGATTCAGGTTGCTCAACCTGTATAAGCATCTTTGAAAACTTAATCCAGACCAAAAGGGCTACCAGTGCTTTGTTTCCAAGACTAAGGAAACTTGAGAAACCAACAGAGAATTGTCTCTCAACAGAACCAGATACAGGTGCAATAGAAAAACCACCAGTCTATTTTATTATCCTTATAAATTCCCACTAACTACAGCTGTTTAGACCAATTGCTTCAGCAACAGGAACTGAAAATGGAAACTTATTTACAGAGTAAAAAGTAGAGGGCTGGAATTGTGTGCATCCAGTAATATAATTTTCATATAATTTTTATTTAGAAAGATTTAAGTCATTTCATGATATTTAGAAGTAGATATGTAGAGAATGTAGTCAACTCAGCAATAATCTCATAGAAATACAAAATACACTAATAGAGTTTCCCATGCATATTTAGGTTCTCATACACGGAGAATTAAATACAAAGTAATAAAAAATGACTATAAAGTATACAGTGAATATGCTGTGCCAATGTAGTTCTGCAGCATAATATATCCATAAATTTTCTTGCCTTTATTGAACTTACATAATTTCTCCTAACATTTACTTGAGATGCATTCTTGTGATTTATTTAAAGAAATGATATTTGTGGCCAAAAATTGGAAAGTGATATTTCGCTTTAGTACATAGGTAATTAACCACTGAACTAAAGGTCTGATCATTTATCCACTTTCACATTAAAGTGCAAACACTGAACAAAACATAGGTAAGAGATGTTTCCCATTTCAAGTGGCAAAATTTCTAGTGATTTTGTGGTTTACAGAATTCAGTTGAGGTTTGTATAGTCATTCACAGAGCAAAATATTCAAAGTAGTTATTTTTTGAGAACCATCTTTGGCAACATATAGCAGTTTTTGATTTCCCCATCTAGTAAAAGCAATGAGCTAAAGAAGTCCACCTTCCACCCCACCCCCAAATGAAGCCCAAATTAAACTGTTCTAAGTAGGCATTGAATTCAACATATTCATTTTGCTTAGGATTAATTTAGAATATTAAATTAATGTGATCAGTATATCTTCTTTTTATGTTTATTTCATTTTCTTTTTGCCTATTAGAAATACTTTAAAAAGGCAAACTCTGTAAATCCTCAATCTTTAAAGGAGCCACATCAGCATCAGCTTTAAAAGAACATCTTTTTTTTTATTGTTAAATGAAGCACCTGTTAATATTATTGTTGCATGAATAAAACTGTCTCTTCATAGCTCTTTATCTAAAAAAGACTGATTTGAATGAAGGTAAACATATGTGGATACAGATTTCCTTGATTTTTTAATACATTCATAATTTTGTTTCTTTTTTTCTCATTTTATATAACACCTATATTTTGATTAAAAAAATTATTTCTTCTTTAAAAGATACATTAAAAAACCTAACTTATAACAAGTGTAAGTAATTTTTCTAGTTGTTAGGTTATAATGTTTTAACTTTAGTTTTTGTATAGTAAGTATGGATGCATTTTTCGCACCACAGAGTTGATCAAAATAACAGACTGACATAAGAGTTGGCTGTCTGATAATATTGTAACTTGTGAACTAAATGAGCATGTAAAAGTCATGCTAACATTCATTTATTTGATAAAGTCTTCTTAAAGATTTTGAGGGCATTGATAGTACAAATCAAATGCACAATTTAAAACTGAGATGGTTTTCTTATTTACTGAAGATCTGAACTTGGATATTAAAATCTCTCCTTTGCCATATTCTGCATGAAATTATTTCAGTCTCTTAACCTTACTTTTTCCATGTGTAAAATGATATTATTAATGTCTAATTTGTAGATTTTAGTTTTTAAAAAAGGTTAATATGTAAAAGTGCTTGATACATACTGTTTGCTTAATAAATATATTAAACATACATTCTTTTTTACTTGGGTTGTACAAAATCATAATATCTTAGGTATGTAAAACACTTTTTGAGTTCTGGCCTAATTCAATATTTCTGGTGAAAATATGGGAAACTCCTTCTCCCTCCCTCCATCTTGGCCTTGCCCACCACAGAAGAAGAAAATATGTATTGAAGAACAGTAGCATTTAATTTTCATAACTTTTTCGTAAATGAGGATACCGGAAGTCACACAAAGTAAATGACTTACTCAAGATCACATAGACAGGAAGGACAAAGGTAGGATTCACACCCGGATCTGTCTGAATCCAAAGGTGAATTATGTTTCATCATATTATGCTTTTTATCATAGCTTAGAGATTTTTCTAGCATGGAACATTATTTAGCAATATCTGTGTGATTAGGCATCTGCTTCCTAATTCAACGTTTTCATCTTCAACTAAGGTTTATTATTAAATATAAAACATTTAATAAAAGTCAAAACATTTGCTTGTTCAATTTATTTTAATTTATATTTTTGCCTTGCCATAAAAAATATTAAAGAAGGCTTAAATTTGAATATACTTGCTATACTACCTTTTAATTGGTGATATTTCAAATTTAATAAGCAAACTGCACTATGAAGACAGGATATAAGAAGATTTAGGCAATTGGAAAGATTCTTTATCTTGTTACACTTTCGGCATTTTTTTTTTTTTTTTTTTTTGCCAATTCTCAATGTGAATAAATTTACAACATGTGAAGCATCAAAAGACTTATAAAATCTTGAGTCTTGTCTGAAATTAGCAAATTAAAATAAATATATGTGTTGAAAGAAAAGTCCTGTCTTGCAGATGTTTTGGATTAGAATGAAAATGGACACACACATACACATGCATAATTGTTAACTTTCATTTGAAATAAAATTTAACTTAGCAAAACTAACAAGAAAAAATAAAATAATTGAATATCTATATTCTATTAAGGAATGTAAATTTAAACAAAAACATTCCACAAAGAAAACTCCAGGCACGGAAAGATTGGCAGGTTAATTCTATCAAGCATTTGGGGAAAAAACGAAAAAGTAAAAGCAACATTACACACTCAGAAATTAAGGAAGGAAACACTTTCCAATGTGTTTCATGAGGCAGCATATCTCTGATACATAAACCTGATAAAGACATAACAAAGAAGAAATTGCAGGTTTTTTACCACTACAAACATAGTTAAAATCCTTAAAAAAATTCCAAAGTTGTATTCAGAAATACATAATAATAAATCATAATGGAGCAGAGTTTGCTATAGGATTGAAAAGTTGGTTTAACATTTGAAAATCAACTCACTAATTCACCATATTAATAGAATAAAGGAGAAATAACTTAATAGGCATTAAAAAAAAGCCTGACATGACACTCATTTATGTTTTAAAAAGGTAAGACTGGAAGAGAACTTCCACACTTTTCTGAAGGGCATTTATGAAAACCTTACAGCTAGCTAATTTATTGTTACAGATGAATCACTGAATACTTATTCCCAGCAGTTGGGAACAGGCAAGATCTCTTCCTACTCCTGTACTCAACATTGCATTAGAATTCTTATGGTAGTGTAATTTAGCAGAAAAAAAATAAATATGATACATAAATATTGGGATACATGAAGTAGAATGATAATCATTTGCAGATTACGTAAGTGTGTTTTTAAAATCACTAAGAAATTACAAAACAACTACCCAAGGCTACAAGATAGAAGATACACACACACACACACACACAGCATTCGGAATAGATCTAGAGTAACCAAAATAACCTGGATAAAAAAAAAAAAGTTTGAATACTTAATATGATTTGATTATTTTTTATAATGCTACTGCTTCTAGTAATAAAGTCATGTGTTATTGCCGTAAGAATATTTCAGCAAAACATAATGAGTAGAGATATTTATCCACACACGTGCAGTCAATTGTTTTTTGACAAAAACACTCAGGCAACTCAATGGAAAAAAGAAGGCCTTTTTAATAGAAAATTCTCAAATTACTAGATATTTGCATAAAATATGTAAACCATATGCTTTCATTTTATTTCACACATAAAATTAATTTGGGATAAATCACCAACCTAACCTAAAAACTGGAACTGTAAATCTTCTCAATTTGGAAGTAGGCAACGATTTCATTGGCAAAAAATAAGAAGCATCAAGCATGAAAAAATTGATGACATTTCTTCTCAATAAAATTGCAATTAAGCATATGAATAGATAAGAAAAAGAGTCGGGAAAAGTAATCGATATTTAATAACTGTCAAAGAATTTTTATCCAAAATATTTAAACAACTTTTATGAGTAAATATGAAAAAAACAACACATTAAAAAATGGTCAAAAGACTTGGGTCGTCACCTTAATGTGAGTATGAAAAATATGCTCAATGCTAATATCATTAGACAAATGCAAATTAAAACCACAAGATAAGGTTTTGCACAACTACAATGGCTTTTAGACACACACACATACATGCACACATGCACACACATTAACAATACCAAAATTTGGCAAGGATGTGAAACAATTGTAAACTATAGCTCCCATACACCACGTTTTGTGGTAGGAAAAATGTATGTGAAATAGTACAACAATTTTAGAGAAGTGTATTTAATATCTGTCAATCCTAAAATCAAGCAACCCCATTCCCAGATATTTGCCCAAGAGAAATGAAATCATATGTCCACCAAAATACTTACACAAAACTATTCATATAGCACATTTAATTCATATTAGCCAGTACCTGCAACAGCTCAAGTGGCCCAAAATAGAATGGATAAATACATTATCTTATATTCATACAATGAAATACTACACTGAAAGGCAAAGCAACAAAAACGAATGCAGGCAAAATGTGGATGAATCTAAAAAAGTCTTTATTGAGCTAAAAAAGTCAGATATAAAAAGTATATATCATATATATGGTATATTCTGTATGTATGTGATCTGATTTATACGGAATTTGTAAAGTAGGCAAACTATTGTGATAATTGAAATTAGACTGTTGTTGCTTTTGGGTAGAAGTGGGAATGATTGAAAAGGAGTGTATGGGAAATTTGGGAAATAATGGGAAAAGTCAGTATCTTGATTTGAGTAGTGGTTACATAGGCTTATAATACAATTAGCAAAACCTATCAAATACTATACTTAAAAACCTCTCCATTTTATTTTATATACATTATAATTCAAATACAACTGATAAGAATTATAGAAAATGTGGACAATATGTACAATTTTATACATTATATATATATACACATATATATATGTAATGTTTCCCTTAAATTTTACCTCTTAATCGGATTACTGTGGAAATATATTCTTAAAAGTATTATTTGTATGTATCAGTTGCAAATCTGACTTACATTATTTTAAGTGGTGTAAGATATTAGGAGAAGTTTGTTATCTAATGTACCTTGATCACTAATTTATATTACAAAAAGTAATATGTTCCAATCCATATTTCTTATTGGTTAAATCAGTTCTACTGAAAAAATTTTAAATTCTATGCTTCACAAACAAAACAGAGAGAAATGTATTTGAATACTGAAGGCTACACTGTGTCTATTTCCAAGGGGCTAATAAGATTTAAGACTTCAAAGATTCAGTCTTGTGGTCAAGAATAAGTGATGTGGATGCCTAAGAAATGATAAGCCATGCCAGGAGACTGGAACATAAATTTGAGGCTGAATGACTGCAATTTTCCAAACATATTTTCTGTTTATCACAAAGTTTCATAGTAGTTCCATAACTTTTCCCTCCACTCGGTCTCTTTAAAATTCTACTGAACTTCTGAGTAAAATTGAGAATAATTTGGTCCACTGAATACTATGGCAACCCTCCCACCAAAATAAATAAAATGAAAAATTTTTCTTTCTTTTCCTTGCTGTTTTCTAATTATTTTATCTTTGATTATGCTTCAAAAGCCCCCTATTTTCTCGGAAATGGAATGTTGTATATCTTCTTAGATTCACTTTGTTTGTAAAAGGGAGGAATATCTGAAAGTAGAAGGTAATTATTTACATTAGAAGCAGTGTTTTTTACTCTCTATGAAACTTCCTGCAAATATAATACTTAAACACTCTATAAAAGATTGCAAGTATACACAGCAAGTTTGTAAATTTTTATTTTAATATCTCTAAAGAATGAGTAGATTGTAATTTTGTATTTGATAAAAATTATTGAGGCCTGAAATGCTTTTTTCCTACTTTAGAAATTTAAATGCCATTTTCATAATATTGATTCTTCCTACCCATGAGCGTGGAATGTTCTTCCATTTCTTTGTATCCTCTTTTATTTCATTGAGCAGTGGTTTCTAGTTCTCCTTGAAGAGATCCTTCACGTCCCTTGTAAGTTGGATTCCTAGGTATTTTATTCTCTTTGAAGCAATTGGGAATGGGAGTTCACTCATGGTTTGGCTCTCTGTCTGTTATTGGTGTATAAGAATGCTTGTGGTTTTTGTACATTGATTTTGTATCCTGAGACTTTGCTGAAGCTGCTTATCAGCTTAAGGAGATTTTGGGCTGAGACAATGGGGTTTTCTAGATATACAATCCCAAGGTAATTTATAGATTCAATGCCATCCCCATCAAGCTACCAATGACTTTCTTCACAGAATTGGAAAAAACTACTTTAAAGTTCATATGGAACCAAAAAAGAGCCTGCATCGCCAAGTCAATCCTAAGCCAAAAGAACAAAGCTGGAGGCATCATGCTACCTGACTTCAAACTATACTACAAGGCTACAGTAACCAAAACAGCATGGTACTGGTACCAAAACAGAGATATAGATCAACAGAACAGAACAGAGCCCTCAGAAATAACACTGCATGTCTACAACTATCTGATCTTTGACAAACCTGAGAAAAACAAGCAGTGGGGAAAGGATTCCCTATTTAATAAATGGTGCTGGGAAAACTGACTAGCCATATGTAGAAAGCTGAAACTGGATCCCTTCCTTACACCTTATACCAAAATTAATTCAAGATGGATTAAAGACTTAAACGTTCGACCTAAAACCATAAAAACCCTAGAAGAAAACCTAGGCATTACCATTCAGGACATAGGCATGGGCAAGGACTTCATGTCTAAAACACCAAAAGCAATGGCAACAAAAGCCAAAATTGACAAATGGGATCTAATTAAACTAAAGAGCTTCTGCACAGCAGAAGAAACTAGCATCAGAGTGAACAGGCAACCTACAAAATGGGAGAAAATTTTCACAACCTACTCATCTGACAAAGGGCTAATATCCAGAATCTACAATGAACTCAAACAAATTTACAAGAAAAAAACAACCCCATCAAAAAGTGGGCAAAGGACATGAACAGACACTTCTCAAAAGAAGACATTTATGCAGCCAAAAAACACATGAAAAAAGGCTCACTATCACTGGCCATCAGAGAAATGCAAATCAAAACCACAATGAGATACCATCTCACACCAGTTAGAATGGCAATCATTAAAATGTCAGGAAACAACAGGTGCTGGAGAGGATGTGGAGAAATAGGAACACTTTTACACTGTTGGTGGGACTGTAAACTAGTTCAACCATTGTGGAAGTCAGTGTGGCGCTTCCTCAGGGATCTAGAACTAGAAATACCATTTGACCCAGCCATCCCATTACTGGGTATATACCCAAAGGACTATAAATCATGCTGCTATAAAAACACACACACACGTATGTTTATTGCGGCACTATTCACAACAGCAAAGACTTGGAACCCACCCAAATGTCCAACAATGATAGACTGGATTAAGAAAATGTGGCACATATACACCATGGAATACTATGCAGCCATAAAAAATGATGAGTTCATGTCCTTTGTAGGGACATGGATGAAATTGGAAATTATCATTCTGAGTAAACTATCGCAAGGACAAAAAACCAAACACTGCATGTTCTCACTCATAGGTGGGAATTGAATAATGAGAACACATGGACACAGGAAGGGGAACATCACACTCTGGGGACTGTTGTGGGGTGGGGGCTGGGGGGAGGGATAGCATTAAGAGATATACCTAATGCTAAATGAGGAGTTAATGGGTGCAGCACACCAGCATGGCACGTGTATACATATGTAACTAACCTGCACATTGTGCACATGTACCCTAAAACTTAAAGTATAATAATAATAAAATAAAAAAAAGAAATTTAAATGCTGTCTACTTGAAGAAAATGTTTATATTGAAATGTTAAACAAAAGAAATGCACTTTTAAAATTATAAAGTATATTTTGTTATCTCTTTAATTTTCTTTCAATTGTTACATTTATATTGTGATCTTCACAAACGAATCATTATGAAACACTTTTGACACCAATTTGATCTGTTGACTAATAGTTCAATTAATTAATAGCTAAATAGGCTTTGTTTCCTTTCAAATTGATTAAATGTTTGCATAGTTTAAAAATAGAAAAAAATTACACTAAGGCATTATCTGAGATTCGTTTGTAAATATAAATCACGCCATTAATTATACTGCCTAATTCATGATAATAGAGTTAAGGGGTCTGTTTTATTTAAATAATTTTCTGTGGTTTTCAACATGATTTAATAAAAATATTCCTGAAAAAGATCAACACATTTCCCATTGTGAAAATTTTTTCATGAAATTATTATCTAGTATTTAATCATGTAATATTAGTAGATTGTGGTTTCCAGTTGCTTTGAGATAATTACTTCCTTTTACCAGAAAACTTCAACATCAAATTTGTAGGCCTGTTGTCATTTATAAGGTCTGTTCAATCAAGGTCACAATTCTGTCTTAATTTCATAGTATTGCTGTAACTTCAATTAAGAGATTTTTGGAAGTTTGCCTCATCAATTTTTCTGCCTCTGGCCATGATAATACATAAAATTGTGAGGATATAATATTTTTAATTACTTACTTCTGAGAATCCTCAGTCCTCAAAGAAACTTAGCCAAATATATGTATGTTTTGTTTGTTTGAATTTTGTTTTTTATTATAGCCCCCATAGTTGGTATGAAGTGATATGTTCTTTTAATTTGCATTTCCCTAATGACTAATTATGTTGAGCATCTTTTCATGTGCTTGTAAATAATTTGTATTTCTTTTTTGGAGAAATGTCTCTTCAAGTCCTTGGTCCACTTTTTAAAATAACTGTTTTTCTCTGTTGTTGACTTGTGAAAGTTCTTTATACTTTCTGCATACTAGGCGGTTATCAGATATAAGATTTGCAAATATCTCCCATTATGTGGCTTGTCTTTCTCTTTCCCTTTCTCTCGCTGTCTTGATAGTGTCCTTAGATACACAAAATATTTTAACTTTGCTAGAGTCCAATTTATTTTTCTTTCATTGCTCATACTTTCGGTGTCAGATCTGAGATATTATTACCAAATCCAAGGTCATAGAGATTTTCCGCATTCTTTCTTCTAAGAATTTTATAGTTTTAGCACTTATATTTAAGTCTTTGATCCATTATAAGTTAATTATTTATATGATGTGAGGTAGGAGTCCAACTTCATTCTTCTGTGTGTGGATTTCCAGTTGTTCCAGCAACATTTGTTGAAGAGACTGCTCTTGCCTTCAAAAAATGGTCTTGGCACCCATGTCAACAACCAGTTGACCATAGGCCCCTGGGTTTACTTCTGAACTTCCAATTGATCAGTATGTTTATCCTTATGCCAATGATCCATATATTTATATTTATGTCAGTATCAAATTATCTGGATTACTGGTGCTTTGCAATAAGATTTGAAGGGCAAATTACCCTGTTATATTATTTTTCATAATTGTTTTAGCTTTGGGGCTCCTTGCCTTCCACTGGATTTTAGGATCAGCTTTCTTTAACATTTACATTTTAGCAAAAAAAGAAAAAAATCATTGGGATTTCTATACGGATTGCATTGAGCCTGTAGATTGCTTTTGGTAGTATTTTCATCTTAATAGTATTAATTCTTCCAGTGTAGTTTATTTTGGCTGATTACTCTGACTAGAACTTTCAGTACCAATGTTAAAGCACAAGGGCAAATGTGGAAATGCTTGTCTTCTTCCTTATCTAAGTAGATAGGTTTCAATCTTTCACCTTTAAATATGATGGTAGCTGTGGGTTTTCCACAAATGCCCTTTATTATGTTGAGGAAGCTTCTTTTAATTTTCAGACTTCCCATTGTTTTTAAGATGAAATAATGTTAGATTTTTTTAAATGCTCTTTATGCATGAACTGAGAAGAATTTCTGTTTATTTCTCTTTGTTTTATCAATATGGTATAGTACATTGATTGAGTTTTGTATGTTGAACCACCCTGGTATTGCTGAAATAAATCACACAAAATCATGATATAGGATCCTTTTAATATGCTGCTGGATTTGGTCTGTTAGTAATTTGTGATAAATTATCAGTTCTTATTTTTAGTTGGGATTCTTTTCTTATCAATAGCATAAATCTTCTTTATGGCCCATCTTTCTGGTTTTGTTTCACAAGAATTTCAAAAAAACTATTATAAACCATCTTTCTTTTCCATGCAGTCAATTGAAATTCCCTGATAATTATTTTTCATAAGAGAAATAACTATTTTCCAAGTATGGCCTACTACTTCTATTTCTAAATCTCTTTAAATTGAGATGGTTAAAGTACAGTATAGTAACAACCCTAGCTATGTAATATTAAGATTAGTGGGAGGATTAATGTCAATATTTCTTTTTTTTTATTATACTTTAAGTTTTAGGGTACATGTGCACAATGTGCAGGTTTGTTACATATGTATACATGTACCATGTTGGCGTGCTGAATCCATTAACTCCTCATTTAGCCTTAGGTATATCTCTTAATGCTATCCCTCCCCCCAGCCCCCACCCCACAACAGTCCCCAGAGTGTGATGTTCCCCTTCCTGTGTCCATGTGTTCTCATTATTCAATTCCCACCTATGAGTGAGACCATGCAGTGTTTGGTTTTTTGTCCTTGCGATAGTTTGCTAAGAATGATGGTTTCCAGCTTCAACCATGTCCCTACAAAGGACATGAACTCATCATTTTTTATGGCTGCATAGTATTCCATGGTGTATATGTGCCACATTGTCTTAATCCAGTCTATCATTGTTGGACATTTGGGTGGGTTCCAAGTCTTTGCTATTGTGAATAGTGCCGCAATAAACATACATGTGTGGGTGTCTTTATAGCAGCATGATTTATAATCTTTTGGGGATATACCCAGTAATGGGATGGCTGGGTCAAATGGTATTTCTAGTTCTAGATCCATGAGGAACTGCTACACTGACTTCCACAATGGTTGAACTAGTTTACAGTCCCACCAACAGTGTAAAAGTGTTCCTATTTCTCCACATCCTCTCCAGCACCTGTTGTTTCCTGACATTTTAATGATTGCCATTCTAACTGGTGGGAGATGATATCTCATTGTGGTTTTGATTTGCATTTCTCTGATGGCCAGCGATGATGAACATTTTTTCATGTGTCTGTTGGCTGCATAAATGTCTTCCTTTGAGAATTGTCTGTTTATGTCCTTCACCCACTTTTTGATGGGGTTGTTTGTTTTTTTCTTGTAAATTTGTTTGAGTTCATTGTAGATTCTGGATATTAGCCCTTTGTCAGATGAGTAGATTGCAAAAATTTTCTCCCATTCTGTAGGTTCCCTGTTCACTCTGATAGTAGTTTCTGTTGCTGTGCAGAAGCTCTTTAGTTTAATGAGATCCCATTTGTCAATTTTGGCTTTTGTTGCCATTGCTTTTGGTGTTTTAGACATGAAGTCCTTGCCCATGCCTATGTCCTGAATGGTATTGCCTAGGTTTTTGTCTAGGGTTTTTATGGTTTTAGGTCTAACATTTAAGTCTTTAATCCATCATGAATTAATTTTGGTATAAGGTGTAAGGAAGGGATCCAGTTTCAGCTTTCTACATATGGCTAGCCAGTTTTCCCAGCACCATTAATTAAATAGGGAATCCTTTCCTCATTTCTTGTTTTTGTCAGGTTTGTCAAAGATCAGATAGTTGTAGATATGCAGCATTATTTCTGAGGGCTCTCTTCTGTTCCATTGGTGTATATCTCTGTTTTGGTACCAGTACCATGCTGTTTTGGTTACTGTAGCCTTGTAGTATAGTTTGAAGTCAGGTAGCGTGATGCCTCTAGCTTTGTTCTTTTGGCTTAGAATTGACTTGGCGATGCAGGCTCTTTTTTGGTTCCATATGAAATTTAAAGTAGTTTTTTCCAATTCTGTGAAGAAAGTCATTGGTAGCTTAATGGGGATGGCATTGAAACTATAAATTACCTTGAGCAGTTTGGCCATTTTCACAATATTGATTCTTCCTACCCATGAGCATGGAATGTTCTTCCATTTGTTTGTATCCTCTTTTATTTCATTGAGCAGTGATTTGTAGTTTTTCTTGAAGAGGTCCTTCACATCCCTTGTAAATTGGATTCCTAGGTATTTTATTCTCTTTGAAGCAATTGTGAATGGGAGTTCACTCATAATTTGGCTCTCTGTTTGTCTGTTATTGGTGTGTAAGAATGCTTGTGATTTTTTGTACATTGAGTTTGTATCCTGAGACTTTGCTGAAGTTGCTTATCAGCTTAAGGAGATTTTGGGCTGAGACGATGGGGTTTTCTAGATATACAATCCTGTCATCTGCAAACAGGGACAATCTGACTTCCTCATTTCCTAATTGAATGCCCTTTATTTCCTTCCCCTGCCTAATTGCCCTGGCCAGAACTTCCAACACTATTTTGAATAGGAGTGGTGAGAGAGGGCATCCCTGTCTTGTGCCAGTTTTCAAAGGGAATGCTTCCAGGTTTTGCCCATTCAGTATGATATTGGCTGTGGGTTTGTCATAGATAGCTCTTATTATTTTGAGATACATCCCATCAATACCTAATTTATTGAGAGTTTTTAGCATGAAGGGTTGTTGAATTTTGTCAAAGGCCTTTTGTGCATCTATTGAGATAATCATGTGGTTTTTGTCTTTGGTTCTGTTTATATGCTGGATTACATTTATTGATTTGCATATGTTGAACCAGCCTTGCATCCCACGGATGAAGCCCTCTTGATCATGGTGGATAAGATTTTTGATGTGCTGCTGGATTCGGTTTGCCAGTATTTTATTGAGGATTTTTGCATTGATGTTCATGAGGGATATTGGTTTAAAATTCTCTTTTATTGTTGTGTCTGTGCCAGACTTTGGTATCAGGATGATGCTGGCCTCATAAAATGAGTTAGGGAGGATTCCATCTTTTTCTAATGATTGGAATAGTTTCAGAAGGAATGGTACCAGCTCCTCCTTGTACCTCTGGTAGAATTCGGCTGTGAATCCCTCTGGTCCTGGACTTTTTTTGGTTGGTAAGCTATTAATTATTGCCTCAATTTCAGATCCTGTAACTGGTCTATTCAGAGATTCAACTTCTTCCTGGTTTAGTCTTGGGAGGGTGTATGTGTCAAGGAATTTATCCATTTCTTGTAGATTTTCTAGTTTATTTGCATAGAGGTGTTTATAGTATTCTCTGATGGTAGTCTGTATTTCTTTGGGATTGGTGGTGATATCCCCTTTATCATTTTTTATTGTGTCTATTTGATTCTTCTGTCTTCTCTTCTTTATTAGTCTTGCTAGTGTTCTATCAATTTTGTTGATCTTTTCAAAAAACCAGCTCCTGGATTCATTGATTTTTTGAAGGGTTATTTGTGTCTCTATTTCCTTCAGTTCTGCTCTGATCTTAATTATTTCTTGTCTTCTGCTAGCTTTTGAATGTGTTTGCTCTTGCTTCTCCAGTTCTTTTAATTGTGATGTTGGGGTGTCAATTTTAGATCTTTCCTGCTTTCTCTTGTGGGCATTGAGTGCTGCAAATTTCCCTCTACACACTGCTTTGAATGTGTCCCAGAGATTCTCGTATGTTGTGTCTTTGTTCTCATTGGTTTCAAAGAACATCTTTATTTCTGCGTTCATTTTTTTGTGTACCCAGTAGTCATTCAGGAGCAGGTTGCTCAATTTCCATGTAGTTGAGTGGTTTTGAGTGACTTTCTTCATCCTGAGTTCTAGTTTGATTGCACTGTGGTCTGAGAGACAGTTTGTTATAATTTCTGTTCTTTTACATTTGCTGAGGAATGCTTTACTTCCAAGTATGTGGTCAATTTTGGAATAGGTGTGGTGTGGTCCTGAGAAGAATGTCTATTCTGTTAATTTGGGGTGGAGCGTTCTGTAGATGTATATTAGGTCTACTTGGTGCAGAGCTGAGTTCAATTCCTGGATATCCTTGTTAACTTTCTGTCTTGTTGATCTGTCTAATGTTGACAGTGGGGTGTTAAAGTCTCCCATTATTATTGTGTTGGAGTCTAAGTCTCTTTGTAGGTCACTAAGGACTTGCTTTATGAATCTGGGTGCTCCTGTATTGGGTGCATATATATTTAGGATAGTTAGCTCTTCTTGTTGAATTGATCCCTTTACCATTATGTAATGGCCTTCTTTGTCTCTTCTGATATTTGTTGGTTTAAAGTCTGTTTTATCAGAGACTAGGATTGCAACTCCTGCCTTTTTTTGTTTTCCATTTGCTTGGCAGATCTTCCTCCATCCCTTTATTTTGAGCCTGTGTGTGTCTCTGCATGTGAGGTGGGTTTCCTGAATACAGCACACTGATGGGTCTTGACTCTTTATCCAATTTGCCAGACTGTGTCTTTTAATTGGAGCATTTATCCCATTTACATTTAAGGTTCCTATTGTTATGTGTGAATTTGATCCTGTCATTATGATGTTAGCTGGTTATTTTGCTCATTAGTTGATGCAGTTGCTTCCTAGCCTTGACGGTCTTTACAATTGTGTATGTTTTTGCAGTGGCTGGTACCGGTTGTTCCTTTCCACGTTTAGTGCTTCCTTCAGGAGCTCTTTTAGGGCAGGCCTGGTGTTGACAAAATCTCTCAGCATTTGCTTGTCTGTAAAGGATTTTATTTCTCCTTCGCTTATGAAGCTTAGTTTGGCTGGATATGAAATTCTGGGTTGAAAATTCTTTTCTTTAAGAATGTTGAATATTGGCCCCCACTCTCTTCTGGCTTGTAGAGTTTCTGCCGAGAGATCTGCTGTTATTCTGATGGGCTTCCCGTTGTGGGTAACCCGACCTTTCTCTCTGGCTGCCCTTAACTTTATTTCCTTCATTTCAGCTTTGGTGAATCTGACAATTATGTGTCTTGGAGTTGCTCTTCTCGAGGAGTATCTTTGTGGTGTTCTCTGTACTTCCTGAATTTGAATGTTGGCCTGCCTTGCTAGATTGAGGAAGTTCTCCTGGATAATATCCTGCAGGGTGTTTTCCAGCTGGGTTCCATTCTCCCTGTCACTTTCAGGTACACCAATCAGACATAGATTTGGTCTTTTCACATAGGCCCATATTTCTTGGGGGCTTTGTTCTTTTCTTTTTATTCTTTTTTCTCTGAACTTCTCTTCTCACTTCATTTCATTCATTTCATTCATTTCATCTTCCATCACTGATACCCTTTCTTCCAGTTGATCGCGTCGGCTACTGAGGCTTGTGCATTCATCACATAGTTCTCATGCCATGGTTTTCAGCTCCATCAGGTCGTTTAAAGACTTCTCTGCATTGGTTATTTTATTTAGCCATTCATCTAATTTTTTTTCAAGGTTTTTAACTTCTTTGCCATGGGTTCGAACTTCCTCCTTTAGCTCGGAGTAGTTTGATCGTCTGAAGCCTTCTTCTCTCAACTCGTCAAAGTCATTCTCCATCCAGCTTTGTTCCATTGCTGGTGAGGAGCTGCATTCCTTTGGAGGAGGAGAGGTGCTCTGACTTTCAGAGTTTCCAGTTTTTCTGCTCTGTTTTTTCCCCATCTTTGTGGTTTTGTCTACTTTTGGTCTTTGATGATGGTGACGTACAGATGGGGTTTTGGTGTGGATGTCATTTTTGTTTGTTAGTGTTCCTTCTAACAGTCAGGACCCTCAGCTGCAGGTCTGTTGGAGTTTGCTGGAGGTCCACTCCAGGCCCTGTTTGCCTGAGTATCAGCAGCGGAGGCTGCAGAGCAGAACAGCGGCTACTGGTGAACAGCAAATGTTGCTGCCTGATTGTTCCTCTGGAAGTTTTGTCTCAGAGGGGTACCAGGCCATGTGAGGTATCAGTCTGCCCCTACTGGGGGGTGCCTCCCAGTTAGGCTACTCAGGGGTCAGGGACCCACTTGAGGAGGCAATCTGTCCATTCTCAGATCTCCAACTGCATGCTGGGAACCACTACTCTCTTCAAAGCTGTCAGACAGGTACATTTAAGTCTGCAGAGTTTTCTGCTGCCTTTTGTATGGCTATGCCCTGCCCCCAGATGTGGAGTCTACAGAGGCAGGCAGGCCTCCTTGAGCTGTGGTGGGCTCCACCCAATTTTGGCCGCTTTGTTTACCTACTCAAGCCTGGGCAATTGTGGGTGCCCCTCCCCCAGCCTTGCTGCCACCTTGCAGTTTGATCTCAGACTGCTGTGCTAGCAATGAGTGAGGCTCCGTGGGCATAGGACCCTCTGAGCCAGGTGCTGGATATAATCTCCTGGTGTCCTGTTTGCTAAGACAGTTGGAAAAGCACAGTATTAGGGTGGGAGTGACCCGATTTTCCAGGTGCCGTCTGTCACCCCTTTCTTTGACTAGGAAAGGGAATTCCCTGACCCCTTACACTTCCCGGTTGAGGCGATGCCTCGCCTTGCTTCAGCTCATGCTCAGTGCGCTGCACCCACTGTCTGACACTCCCCAGGGAGATGAACCTGGTATCTCAGTTGGAAAAGTAGAAATCACCTCTCTTGTGCATTGCTCACTGGGAGCTGTAGACTGGAGCTGTTCCTATTTGGCCATCTTCAATATTTCTAACATATTAGAATCTATTTGATTTTTTAAATCTACATAAACTCGTGTACTAACAGTTATTTTATTTGTAAAACACTTTTTTTTCCTATAGTATGTTGGACTTATCAATATTTTGAATATGTAAGTCTTACCCTTTGGAGTTTACTGTCCAAAGGGCAAACCTTATATATTTTAAATGTATAGCTTCTAATGTTCTGATTATAGAACAGTTATGCATGGGATATAAGCAACAATTTGTCTTCCAAATATGTCATATTTGCCACTGTTTTCATGGATTATATGAAACCTGTGAATAATTGCTTTTGTGTATATTGATTCTTCAGTTACATTCAGTGGTGGTAACTACTTGAAAATATTTCTGATAACTAAGTTTGAAATTAGATTTTAACTGTTCCTGTAAGTCCCTCATTCAGTGACTTATTGTGTAATGCTATTTTATTGCTTCTATACATCCTATTTCTTATGTAATCATGCATGTAAGATTTAATCTTGAATCTTTGAATATGTGAACCTCACTTTATTCTACTCTCTTGATTGATAGTTTACTGTAGAATAAATTTGATTGGTTGAAAGTAATTTTCTCTCAGAGTTTTAAAGTCATTGTTCTATTATTTTATGGAATCCAACATTACTTATGAGAATAATACCAACCATTTCAATGTGTCTTTGTAAATAAGCTGTTTTTTTTTCCCAATGGGAGAAACTTAGGATCAACTCAATGTTTTTGCTGCTCTAGAAAGTCTAGAAAAATGTGGCTAGGTTTTTTACAACATACTATTCATTGAGATACCAAGACAATTAATACTGTAAGTCTTCATCTCTAGGAAATTATGTTTGATTCTTACAATTGTGATAATTGTTATCCTTCGTTTTCTCTATTCCAGTGAACGAAGTACCAGTGATGGTCACTGGGGAGGGAGTTTTAATCAACAGCACTAAGGTTCATGGTAGCTGCTTCAGTTTTTCCCAAATGATTACTTGAAAAATAACTTTTGTTTTGTTTTGAAAGTGGGAAGTTTAAATTGGATGTTAGTGATTTTATTGAGGATGATGGAAGAGTGCAGTTGATGAGAATATTTTCATTTGATCATCTTATTTTCAGCCTTTTTACTGTCTGTAATTTTTGATTTTTCAGGTCTGCCTCCCAACCCTCTAAGTGTATTTTAGGAAAGATCTATGCCCCCTTAACTTCAGTCCTCTTCATAAATATTTCTGGCTGCAACTACTTGCACTGTGTTTTATTAGCGCATGCCTTTTTACATGCCTTCCAGAAATATGTTGGAATCTCTAGTCTGCTAATGACTACCAATTGTTCTTTTAATTTTAATAGCTTATAGCTCTTAAAACTGCCTTTAATCTCACCGTTTAGGTCTCATATGAGGAGAAAATTTAAAAAATTATATTTTCTAGTCCATATTCTTCAACCGCTGTTTCCTTAAAATGATTCATTGACACAAAAAATGGCATTTGGATATGCGAATGGATTCCATCAAAGCCTTCAAAATGGGAGGTCTGGCAAACAATTTATTTTTTCTTACAATATATACCTATTCCCAAAAGTTATTTGACTACTTTGTTTATATATTTTGTGCTTATTTGACTATTCTATTCCTTAGCCTACTTTTTCTTTACCCACTCTTCTCTTGCCTATCTCATAGCCTATTTCAGAAATATGTTTATGCAGATTTTTCATCTAAATCTTTTTTCCTGTCTTTTCCAGAGTATTTCTTCAGAATTTCACTTTCTTCTGAAGTAGCTTATTCACATATTTCCTAAATACCTTTTCTTCCCCCCCAAAATTATATTAATAACTTTTATTTAAGTTGTTTGTTTTAAACCTGTTCCATTAAAAATTCCAAGGCTTTGTTTGTACTACTATGCAAACTCTACTGCATATTACTCAGCAATATTGGCTTTAGCTGATTATATCCAGCAATGAATGCTTCTTCACCTCTAAGACATAAACTGTTTTCTGCAGAAAGGCCTTACATCAGATGGACAGAAAGTCTCACAACTTTCTGTACCTTACAGTTATGGTTCTCCAAATGCAGCATCGTTCAAAGTCACCTGAAGAACTTGGTAAAGCACTGGTTTTTAGGTCCAATCTTGTAATTTCTGATTCAATAGGCCTGCATGAAAGCCAAGAATTTCCATTCCTATTAAGTTCCTAGGTAATTCTGATACTGCTGATCTGAGAGCTGTAGTATTAGAACCATTGCCTGGAGAACCACTATTCCATTGGTAAAAGGGTAACTCACATGTCCTTACTCTGAAAGATGGAAAGATTTATAGAAAGTCCAAACAAGTCAATAGTTTCTGAAAGCACTACCTTGTATAATTATGACATGCTAATAATTTTGTAGGTAGTCAACATAAAAGAAAGATGTTTGAGGAGGATATAACAGAAAACTGGGTTTATTTATATGTCTGTTGGCTTTACCAATATCTCACAGTCTTGGGTAAACTGATCAAAGCACACATAAGTTCTAACTCTAATTTTTGCAAATACTATAGATTCTAAAGAGAAAAACAATGAAATGATTATGAATCTCATCCTCTTTGTCAGCATGCGTGTGTATTGTCTACCTGTATGCCCAATATTTATGAGTTATTATGTGCTAATATGAAAGAAATATTTATTAAATGTGCTATGTTTAACAAAATAATGCAGTTCTTCCCTAAGCAATCACAAAGTATGTATCATTGGCTGAAATACAATCAGATTTGTCAATTTTCCATTTTGTATAGTAGTGACATATGTGCTACTTATGGAAGAATAAAGATAAATTATAAAGGGATTTTTATTAGTAAAGAATAAACTTGCAAAGTTTCAGATTTATATTTTTTTTTCAAAAACTGACTATATCTTATGCTTTAACTTTTAAGAAATGTTAGATAGCATTGACAAATGTCTACTTCCTGAAAGTTTGAATTAATGAAAACTGTTTCTTGACCATATATAGCCTTCAAATAGTCTTCAGAGGTGTATATGGGTTGTGTGTGTGCGTGTATATGTGTGTGTTTGTAATGATGTAGTGAATACAGAACACTTTTTAAAGTATTAGAAACAATAAAAGGGTGCATTAGAATGGATGGCATCTGCATCATATATATCACAAGCTTTTAATATCTGATAATCAGTATTTTTATTATGTCCAGTGTGATAATAAAATGAATCCTATGTTGTTTGTTAATTACCTTTTGTAAAATATCATTTTACATTATACTATCAGCATTTTTATGCCATCAAATATGCTTCTGAAAAATTATTTTTATTGTGTCATATGAAGGTGGCACAAATTTAGCTTGTCCCTCAATTAATGGGAATTTAAAAAAATTTGTTTTCTAAGAGGGAAATTGCCAAGTTAAAGTGTATAAATATATTTATGGCTCCTAATAATTTTTTTATAAAGCCATTATACTCCTACCTGAGGTTTCATTTTACATTTTAAAGTATGCTTGTTACATAAATAGTCTATGGTTATTTATATTTTTACCAATTTGGTAGGTAAAATTATAATATGTTATATAGTTTTAATCGGCATTTTTGTAACTTTGTTTGGAATAGAAGTTTTTAACATCCTTTTTTGCTACTTGTATTTGAAAGTGAAGAATAAAGCATTTATGGCTTTAGTGGGTATAATCTATCCTGTCAAAGCAGAAAAATAATTACTAAAATTTTGTAAAGGTTATTTTTATACTATTTTCCTATTTTAAATCTAAAGATATGGGGTAAATACATGCATTATTGTTATAGTTACTTTTAGTATTTTAGATTTACAGACATTTCTCTTTCTCTTTCCTTTTTTCTCTTCTACTTTGTATGCCCTTAAGAATGACTTATTTAAACTCATTTGTCAAAATCAGAATTAGTGCATAAATAGTTCTATGGATAAGAAAAACTCTGTTTTATATGTGATCCAAAATGCAATATATGAATGTTATATTGCCTAGAATAAACGTTCTTAATTTTTTAGGGAATGGAACTCATTATGAAACATACAAACATGTTTACCTGTTTGACAGTTTACCATACCAGAATCGTTTCTTTTGCAAATTGAAGTATAATGAATTAGTACAATCTCTGAGAACACAGAGATATCACATGAGAATGAAATCTACAGCATTTAACTTTCAGATTTATTCTTTCACTTATTCTAGGTGTATATATATCATTTGTAAAGTGAGTGACTCTTCACTTTTTAAATCTAGGAATAATATCAGTTTTTTTTTCAGGAAGAAACTTCCTCCAGTCAACTCATTACTAAATATTTGTGTGAGTGTGTGTGGGCTCGTGTGGGTTTGTGTGGGCTTGATGTGCTTTTCTCTTAGTTGAATAACAGTATCAGTCCTATAAGCATGTAATGATACAAGAAGACAACCAAAAAAGATCTGGAGGCATCCTTGTTATACAATTAGACAAAGAAAATGTGTGTGTGTGTGTGTGTCTGTGTGTGTGTGTGAGAGAGAGAGAGAAGGAGGGAGTATTTAACGAGTAGCTTCTAAAATTTTGAGATGGGATAGATTAAATGGAGCTAAATGTTGAATTTATAATTACTAAATATCTATGTAATTATTAAAGATAAAATTTAAAATAAAAATAGGGCATAGTCTTTTTTTATTATACTTCAAGTTTTAGGGTACATGTGCACAACGTGCAGGTTAGTTACATATGTATACATGTGCCATGTTGGTGTGCTGCACCCAGTAACTCATCGTTTAACATTAGGCATATCTCCAAAATGGAAAGCTAAAATAACCTTTACATTTTAAGAAGTGACTGAATTTTAGTTTATGATTGACTGTCTTCTAGCGGTAGAATTGACATAGTTCAGAAAGGGAGCTAAATGTGCCTCCACTGTGATAAGAAATGGGAAGAAAATAGAAAAAGTAATTGCTTTAGCAATGATCTAGTATGAAAGTGATGGATTCTTTCAGGTAGAATTTGGTAGGCTTTCAGTGGCTGGCACATTCTTCGGAGCACTCAATGAGGTCAAATATCTCAGTGTAGGAAGGTGTAAACTGTTTAGAAACCTGCTACCATCCAACAAATTGAAACTGAACTGATGTTAGTGTAGCTGTGCACTAAGGCATGTTTTTCTGTGTCCATGAGTATGAGATGAAGAGGGACTATCTCTTAAAGATTTTTCTATCTGATACTCTTCAGGATCTAATGAGATCAGCCAGCTACAGATAAACAAACTGATGCTGAACCTGCAATTGGCCATCTCCTCTCAGCTAACCCATTTGTCTTTAGCTGTTCTCACAGAGGGAATGACAGTGCATTTATTTAGGGCAAAAGAAATACCTATTTTTATATAACTATTTGAGAAAAGAATCAAGATGAGTCAATAAAGATGTAGCAAAGTTTGGCTTTTGGATCCGTCCTGTTTTGCTTCTCTGGCCAGCTACACACGTTTGGGGAACTAATCATTTACTTTGACAGAGTTTCCTGCATCACACCTTCTACTGAATTTTCTAAAAAAGCAAAAAGTATTTTGTCCTCCAGCATTCAAACACCAGGTGGTCTAATTTTTGCCTGTTGGCTCAAAATATGTGTTTGGAGATTTTCTCCCTGACCTGAATCGATCCTCTAACTGACAGAGCAATGTAAATCTTGGACATAAACAACAAAGAGTGTGTTTCTACTGGCAAAGACAGTGTAAATTATGGAGGATTTATGTACTATGGTAATAAATTAAGTTCCTACAAGTGCTTTTGTTTGAATAGAAATATCAAAATCCCAAGGCCTGTTGCTTTAGACATATACGTGATTTTTTTAGTCCAACTTTGATTATTAGCTTATATCCCTTTACTCCCCTGATGCTTCATTCATTTCAGAATTAGTACTTGGGGAATCTCCTACTTCAGTCCCAGAAGAAACTGGGTTAGTCACAGATAGTTCTTCATAGCATGCTTCTTCTCACAGTGGTACCAACGAAGCATGGCAATGCAATACATTTTGTCCTCCAAATCATCAGCCATGAAAATTGGTCCTTAATTTTGTCTTTACTTTCCATTATTTATATAAACCTATAAGAAAAGTACTTGTTTTATAAGCTTGATGTCATTTCGTGTAGTGTGTACTAGAAAAGTATTGCCTTCCAGGTAAAAGAGAAGAAGAGTTTGTTTCTTTTTTATAGTAGTACCTAATTGTATTTCAGTTCTGGAGTGCCCACATATTCTGTAGCTTTGAAAATTACTTGGCAAATCCATTTTCAGATTATGTATACTGATTATGATTTTTACAAGGTTTGGTTCTTATTTACTTTCAGTAATTTCCTTTCCTGTTAGAAAAATCTAAATATTGCTTTGTTCTTCTAAAGGAAACTCTTTAACCAATTTTCTCTGGAGGATTCTTAGTTTTCTGACATCTTTTTGAAATTAAGGACTAGAACCACACTATCTATTAGAAGTACATATATTCTATGTATGTAGAGATAATGTTTTCTGATGTTTTCACTACTGTTTATTATTTCCATGGTTGTCATCACTACAACAGAATCATCCATTTTAAATGAGCCTTAAGTTTTCTACTTATTAAATATCTTGTTTTTTGAATAAAAGGAACTTAACAATAGATTTTATGTTGTTCTATATAAAATTGTTCTCCAAAAATTCGCAAAATTTTTTATTTATTTATTTATTTATTTATTTATTTATTTTGAGACAGGATCTCACTTTTTCACCCAGGCTGTGCAGTGGCGCAGTCACACCTCGCTGCAGCCTGGACCTTAAGCAATTCTCTCATCTCAGCCTCCTGAGGAGCTTGGACTACAGGTACACTCCACCACAACTGGCTAATTTTTTTGTATTTTTTGCTGAGACAGGGTTTCAACATGTTGCCCAGGCTGGTCTCAAGCGATGCACCCTGCTTAGCCTCCCAAAGTGTGTGACTAAAGTTATGGGCCACTGTGCCCATCCAAATTTTTACTTTTACATAGGTAATACCACCATAAGTTCAAATATTAAAAAGCATAAATTCATGCCAAGCCATTAGTTTTGCACCAAACTGTGTGACCCAAACACCCAATTCCTCTTCCAAAATTGGTATAGATTCATATGCAAATACTAATTTTCTATCCTTTCTAAATTGAAATTATATATGCATTGTATTGCACCTTTCTTCAAGTGTTTAATATGTTTTGGATAACAATCTTTTATTAATCTTTTATTCCTAAAGAGTTCCATATTCTTTTTATGGCTGTGTATTATTTCATTACATGGATATGCTATCTCACCTAAGTCTTATTGATTGATAGATAAGGCTTTCCTAATATTTTTATATTAAAAACAATGATTCAGTGAAACACTGTGTACATGTCCCTTCACATATGTGCAAGTATAAGAAAAAAATAAAATCTCAAAAGTTAAATTGTTTGATCAAAGGGTAAATGCATTCATATTTTGCCAAATTGCCCTCCAAAGGATTTGTACCAATGTGGACTTAGCCCGGTGATATTTGAGAGCACCTGATTTCTACATACTCATTAAGTGCCCTAACAAATTTGTAAATCTTTATTATTCTGATAGGTAAACATGTTTTCTCTCTTAAATAATTTGTAGCATCCATACATGTTATTTTCTTTGAACTGTTTACATATTTTTATCATAATATTTCATTGTGTTCTTTTTATCAATCGTAGACGACCTTTATTCATTGAGGATAATAGATCTCTATGAGATTGCTTTATTCTGCTTTCTTAAACACATTCAGAAATTATGATCAAAACATGAATGGTTTGAAATTATTACAATAACTCAGATTGTTTTTGCAGAAATATTTCATATTTTGTGCTTCTCCTCATGTTTTTTAAATCTCATTTCTGTTTCTACACAAAAGGTTCATAGTCTAGTACAATTATATTAAGAGGTGGTATTTGGTAGCTATATGAAGAAAGTTGTGGGTGATGAAATCAGTGATAGCATAGTGACTAAACATAACTGAATTGCCTAACTCAAAGTTTAATCCAATTTTTGAATAAGTCAAGTAGTAGTATCTTTCTCACCTGCACATTTGGAATTCCCATGTTTCAGGCTTCTTTTGTCATTGTATTTTATTTCCTAATTCAGTAAAACCTGTAATTGAATGTATTCGTTTCCTACGACTGCCATAACACAATATCACAAATGGAGTGGCTTAAAACAACAAAAATGTACTGTCTCACAGCTCTTAGAGCGAGAAGTGAAAAATCACGGAGTCAGCAGAGGTATGCTGCCACTGAAACATGTAAGAGAGAAATCTTTGCCACTTCCTAGCTTCTGGTGATGGTCATCAACTGGCATTTTTTTTTACTTTCAGCTACATTACTCCAATCTCTGCCACTGTCCTCATAAGGCATTCTCCCTGTGTGTGTGTCCACATTTCCCTCTTCTTAGTACACCAACAGTCGTATTGGATTTGGGCCCACTCTAATGATCTCACCTTTATTTGATCACGTATACAGAGAACTTCTTTACAAATAAGGTCACATTCAGAGGGACTGGGAGTTAGGCTTCAATATATTTTGAGTTTGGGGAAGCCAATTCAACCTATAACATTGAGTAATAGCAGGTAACCACAATGCTTTAGTGATCTTATAAAAATGATGTCGAAAAGTAAGCTCTGTGTTCTAGAGTTTGTTTTCATTATAAAGATTACATTCACTGAAAGCTCTATGCATATAATGTATCTTTAGATGATAGTCTACTATAAATGTTGATGCTCTTAGCTTTAGAAAAATTCAGTAAATTCTAAAAACTTTCTTCAAATTGAGCTGAACTCATCTGTGATCTCACTATTTCTGTGTCACAATCAATTTGGGAAATAAACATATTTTAATATTATATTTTCTCTTTGTTCATGACGGGCATAGTCAAGTGATGATTAGTTTATGTGATTCATTTTATTGCATTTAATAGAAATTACTAACCAGAATTACAGCTCAAGTCTCTCGACAGGGAACAAATCACAGCAAATGAATCCAACAGGAATCAATATGATGATTCATTAGCAATGAGCTCTCACTGAGAGTCCCAACAAGCTGAAGACTTCATACCATATTTTTTTATGAACCAAATGTCAATAGCGAAATTAACTACTAAAAAGTATCACAGAAATGTGCTTTATTTTAATATCATATTTCACAATTTTTTAAACAACTGAAACAAGTTTATGTATTTCACTTTTGCTTCTACAAATTATTTTAAAATAGTTTCCACATCTCAAATATCATATTGGAATAATTATTAGAATTTTATAAAGTCTGTTTCCCAAAATATTTACTAAATATTTTGTCCTCATAATCTCACTAGAAGATTACATTCCATTATATGATATTTTAACAGTTTTCTCATTGGTTTAACTGTGGCATGTATGCACAAATACACATGCACATGAATCCATGTGCAGACACACACATATATGCACAGCACAAGGTCGAAAGCACATTAAAAGATTTCTCAAATATAGATATATCAATATATAAATATGAAAAAAGCATACTATGTGTGTGTGTGTATATATGTATACACACAAACATATACACACACATATATATATACAAACACATACACACATATATATACAAACACAAATATGCACACATCAACTTTTTGGATATGACATCTAATTCAACTCCAAATTTCCCCAGTTATACTGTCATGACCTTAGAAATGAAGTAGGTAGACTGGGGGATCTTGGGATAAGGAGTATAACACTGTTTCTGCAGTTTTATTTTATTTTATTTTATTTTATTTTTTGAGACGGAGTCTCACTCTGTCGCCCAGACTGGAGTGCAGTGGAGCGATCTCGACTCACTGCAAGCTCCACCTCCCAGGTTCGCGCCATTCTCCTGCCTCAGCCTCCCAAGTAGCTGGGACTACAGGTGCCAGCCACCATGCCCGGCTAATTTTTTTTTTTAATTTTCTTTTTTTTTTATTATTATTATACTTTAAGTTTTAGGGTACATGTGCACATTGTGCAGGTTAGTTACATATGTATACATGTGCCATGCTGGTGCGCTGCACCCACTAACTCGTCATCTAGCATTAGGTATATCTCCCAATGCTATCCCTCCCCCCTCCCCCCACCCCACAAGAGTCCCCAGAGTGTGATGTTCCCCTTTCTGTGTCCATGTGATCTCATTGTTCAATTCCCACCTATGAGTGAGAATATGCGGTGTTTGGTTTTTTGTTCTTGCGATAGTTTACTGAGAATGATGATTTCCAATTTCATCCATGTCCCTACAAAGGAGATGAACTCATCATTTTTTATGGCTGCATAGTATTCCATGGTGTATATGTGCCACATTTTCTTAATCCAGTCTATCATTGTTGGACATTTGGGTTGGTTCCAAGTCTTTGCTATTGTGAATAATGCCACAATAAACATACATGTGCATGTGTCTTTATAGCAGCATGATTTATAGTCCTTTGGGTATATACCCAGTAATGGGATGGCTGGGTCAAATGGTATTTCTAGTTCTAGATCCCTGAGGAATCGCCACACTGACTTCCACAATGGTTGAACTAGTTTACAGTCCCACCAACAGTGTAAAAGTGTTCCTATTTCTCCACATCCTCTCCAGCACCTGTTGTTTCCTGACTTTTTAATGATTGCCATTCTAACTGGTGGGAGATGGTATCTCATTGTGGATTTGATTTGCATTTCTCTGATGGCCAGTGATGATGAGCATTTTTTCATGTGTCTGTTGGCTGCATAAATGTCTTCTTTTGAGAAGTGTCTGTTCATGTCCTTTGCCCACTTTTTGATGGCGTTGTTTGTTTTTTTCTTGTAAATTTGTTTGAGTTCATTGTAGATTCTGGATATTAGCCCTTTGTCAGATGAGTAGGTTGTGAAAATTTTCTCCCATTTTGTAGGTTGCCTGTTCTCTCTGATGGTAGTTTCTTTTGCTGTGCAGAAGCTCTTTAGTTTAATTAGACCCCATTTGTCAATTTTGGCTTTTGTTGCCATTGCTTTTGGTGTTTTAGACATGAAGTCCTTGCCCATGCCTATGTCCTGAATGGTAATGCCTAGGTTTTCTTCTAGGGTTTTTATGGTTTTAGGTCTAACGTTTAAGTCTTTAATCCATTTTGAATTGATTTTTGTATAAGGTGTAAGGAAGGGATCCAGTTTCAGCTTTCTACATATGGCTAGCCAGTTTTCCCAGCACCATTTATTAAATAGGGAATCCTTTCCCCATTGCTTGTTTTTCTCAGTAGAGATAGGATTTCACCGTGTTAGCCAGGATGTTCTCTATCTCCTGACCTCGTGATCTGCCCACTTCGGCCTCACAAAGTGCTGGGATCACAGGCATGAGCCACTGCGCCTGGACTTTCTGGAGCTCTTAAAAAATAAACTTTATTTAGAAAGAAAACAAAAAACAAAAACAATTTTTGGAACAGTTGTAGGTTCACAGCAAAACTGAGCAGAAGTTACAGAGATTTCCTATATACTTCCTGTTCCCATATTAATATACCATCTGTCATTAACAACATCTTCCTAGAGAACAGTGCACTTGCTACAATTGATGAAGATAACTTGACACATCATTACCAACCCGGGTTCACAGTTAAAGTTAGAACTCACTTTTGGTCTTATTGAGTCTATGGGCTTGGACACATTTTTAATGACATATATGCACAATTATGGTATTATGCAGAATAGTTTCACCACTCAAAATCCTCTGGATTCTCCTTATGTATCCCTCCCTATCCCTAACCCTTGAAACGACTAGCCTTACTGTATCCACAGTTTCACCTCTTCCAGAATGTGATATACTCATTTATGTTTCTTCCATGTCTTTTCATGGCTTGATAGCTCATTTTTTTAGTGCTAAATAATATTCCACTCTCTAGATGTGCCATAATTTATCAATTCTCCAACATCTGTTTCTTCCAAGTTTTGGCAATTATAAATAAAGCTACTATAAGCATCAATTTTCAGGTTTTTGTCTGAACATAAGTTTTCATCTCCTTTGGATAAATAGCAATGAGCAGTATGGCTGGATCCTACGGTACGAGTATGTTTCATTTTCTAAGAAGCTGCCTGTTTTTCATAGCAGCTGTAACAATTTGCATTCCCAGTGGTAATGAATGAAAGTTCTTGTTGGTTCACATCCTCCCCAGCATTTGGTATTATCAGCGTTCTGGATTTGGCTATTCTAATAGGTTTGTAGAAATATCTAATTGTTGTTTTAATTTTAATTTGCATTTCCCTAATGACATATGATGTGGAGCATATTTTATGTGCTTGTTTGCCATCTGTATATCTTCTTTGGTGAGGTATCTTTTAATGTATTTGGCTCATTTTTTGTTTGTTTTCTTTTTGTTGAATTTTAAGCATTCCTTGTAAATTTTGTATAATAGCCCTCTATCAGATATGTCTTTTGCACGTATTTTCTCTCAGTCTGTTGCTTGTTTTATCATTCTCTTGACAGTATCTTTCACAGAGCAGAAATTCTTAATTTTAATTAAGTCCAAGTTATCAAATTTTTCTTTCATGAATCATGCCTTTGTTGTAGTATCTGAAACGTTACCATCAAACCCAAGGTCATATGATTTTTTTTTCTATGTTATGTTGTAGGAGTTTAATATTTTTGCATTTTGCATTTAGGCCTGTGATTCACTTCAAGTTAATTTTTGTAAAAGGTGTAAGGTTTATGTTTAGATTCATTTTTCTCCAGGTGGTTGTCTAGTTGTTCCAGCACTGTTTTTTGAAAAAATTTCCTTTTCTCCACTGTATTGTCTTTTCGCCTTTGTCAAAGATTGGTATACTGTACTTATGTAGGTCTCTTTCTGGACTCTTTTCTGTTCCATTGATCTATTTGTCTGTTCTCTTACCAATACCACACTCTCTTGACCACTGTAGCTTTATAACAAACTTTTGAGTCAGGTAGTATCAGTCTTCCATTTTTTTTTTCTTCAACTTTAACATTGTGCTAGCTATACTGAATATTTTGCCACTTCATAAAAACTTCCGAATCATTTAGTAGATATCTACAAAATAACTTCCTGTAATTTTGATTGGGGTTGTATATTATTTATAGATCAAATTGGGAAGAATTGACATATTGAAAATATTGAATCTTTTTGTCCATAAACATAAAATATTTATCCATTTATTCAGTCCTTTTTATATCTTTCATTAGAGATTTGTAGTTTTCCTCATATAGATTCTGTGCATATTTTGTTACATTTATATTTAAATATTTCCTTTTGGGGATGCTAATGTAAATAGTGTGTGTTCTTGGTTTCAGATTCCTCTTGTTCATTCATGGCATATAGGAAAGTGATTAACTTGTGTATATTAACTTTGCATTCTGCCACACTGCTATAATCACTTGTTAGTTTCAGGAACTTTTGTTGTTGTTGTCGATTGTTTTGGATTTCCTACATAATGATATCACCTGTGTACAAAGACACTTTTAATTCTTCTACACCAGTAAGTATACCTTTATTTCTCTTTGTATAATTGTGCTAGGACTTTCAGTAAAATCTTGAAAAAAGAGTGGTGAGAGTTAACCTTGCCTACTTCCTGATCTTAGTTAGAAAGCTTCCAGTTTTCCACAATCAAGCATGATGTTGGCCATCAGTTCCTTTGTAGATGTCTTTATCAGTTTGAGCAAGTTCTATTCTTAGTTGACTGAGAGATTTTATGATGAATGACTGAGAGATTTTATGATGATTTTATGATGAATTTTTGGATTTTGTCAGATGCTTTTTCTACATCTATTGATACAGTTTTGTGATCTTTCTTATTTAGCTTGTTGATATGATGGACCATATTAATTGATTCTGGAATATTGAACCAGCCTTGTATATCCGGGATAAATCCCACTTGGTCATGGCATACAATTCTTTTTATACATTGTTGGATTTGATTTGCTAATATTTTGTTGAAGATATTTGCATCTATGTCCACAACATATATTGGTGTGTAGTTTCCTTTTCTTATAATGTCTTTATCTGATTTTAGTATTCAGGTAATGCTGACTTCATAGAATGAGTTAGAAAGTATTCACTCTGTTTCCACCCTCAGAAAGACATTATAGAAAATTGGTATAATTTCTTCCTTGAATGTGTGGTAGAATTCATGAGTGAACCCATCTGGGCCTTGTACTTTCTGTTTGGAAAGTTATTCATTTTTGATTCAATTTGTTTGGTAAATATTCACCTATTCAGATTGCCATTTCTTCTTGGGTGAGATTTAGCAGATTGTGTCTTTCAAGGAGTAGGTCTGTTTCAACTAGGTTATCAAATTTGTGGTCATGGAGTTGTTTACAATATTCCTTTATTATCATTTGCATGTCCATTAGATCTGTAGTGATGTGTCTTCTTTCATTTCTGATGTTAGTAATTTGAGTCCACTCTTCTTTTTTTTTTTTTTTTTTCCTTAGCCTGGCTAAAGGCATACAGATTTTATTGATTTTTTTTTTTTTTCCCAAAAGACTGACTTTTGATTTCACTGAATTTCTCTATTGGCTTCCTGTTTTCTACTCCATTGATTTCTACTCTGGTTTTTAGTACTACTATTATTACTTCCAGTTACTTTTTATTTAATTTCCTCTCCTTTTCCTAGTTTCCTAAGATGAAAACTTAGATTATTAATGTTAGATCTTTCTTCGTCTCTATACAATCAATGTTATAAATATCCCTGTAAGCACTGCTTTCATTACATCTTACAAATTGTTATGTTGTGTTTTCATTTTTATGTAGTTCAATTTTTTTTTTAATTTTCTGTTAAGATGTCTTCTTTGACCTGTATGCTATTTAAAAGTGTGTTTGTAATGCCCCGTAACCTTCAGCAATCCCACTGTTGGGTATAAACCCAAAGGATTATAAACCATTCTACTATAAAGACACATTCACATTTATGTTTATTGCAGCACTATTCACAATAGCAAAGACTTGGAACCAACCCAAATGCCCATCAATTATAGACTGGATAAATAAAATCTGGCATATATACACCATGGAATACAATGCAGCCATAAAAAAGGATTAGTCCATGTCCTTTGCAGGGACATGGATGAAGCTGGAAGCCATCATTCTCAGCAAACTATGCAGGAACAGAAAATCAAACACCACATGTTCTCATTCATAAGTGGGAGATGAACAATGAGAACACATGGACACAGGGAGGGGAACATCTCACACTGGGGCCTATTGGGGGATAGGGTAGCTAGGGTAGAGATAGCATTAGGAGAAATACCTAATGTAGATGATGGGTTGATGAGTGCATCAAACCACCATGGCACATGTGTACCTATGTAACAAACCTGCATGTTCTGCACATGTATCCCAGAACTTAAAGTATAATTTAAAAAAAAAGGAGAGAAGAGAAAAAAAGGGGTGTATTTGTTTAATTTCTATCTATTTTGAAAATTTTCAGCTATCTTTCTGTTATGGATTTCTGGTTTAATTTTATTGTGGTCTGAGAACAAACATTGTTTGATTCCTATTCTTTCAAATTTGTTAAAATATGTTTTATGGCCCAGAATGTGGTTTACCTTGGTGAATTTTCCATGTTAGCTTGAGAGGCATGCTTTTCTGATGTTGAATGAAGTACCCAATAGAGGTCAATTATATTCAGTTCATTGATGGTGCTGTAGAGTTCAAATATATCCTTACTTATTTCCTGCCTGTTGGACCTGTCCATTTCTGATAGAGGGGTGCTGAAGTTTCCAAATATAATAGCAGGTTTATCTATTTCTTCTTTCAGTTATATTAGTTGTTCCCTGATGTATTCCGATGCAATGCTGTTAAGTATGTACATATTAAGGACTGTCATGTCTTCTTAAAGGATTCATCCCTTTATCATGTAATGCTCCTCCTTATCTCTGATACTATCCTTGCTCTGACGTCGGCTCTGTCTGAAATTTGTTTTGATGATTGTTAGCATAATATATATTTCCCCATTCATTTACTGTTAACTTATATGTATTTATATTTAGGGTAAGTTTCTTGCAGACAAAATATAGTCTTGCTTATTGATCCACTCTGTCAATCTTATCTTTTAATTGATATATTTATACCATGATGTTTAAAATAAGTATTGATATAGTTGGGTTAATATTTATCTTATTTATGACTATCTTCTATTTGTTGCCTGTGATCCTGGTTCCTTTTTTTGTCTTCTACTCTTTCCGCATTTTATGAATTTAATTGATCACTTTATATTATTCCATTTCATCTTCTTTTTATCTTAGCATATCAGTTATATATTTTTCCTTGGTTTCTTATAAGTTATTTTTAGTGGTTGCTCTGAAGTTTGCAATATAAATTTACAACTAATCCAAGTCCACCTTCAAGTAACACTATGCTGCTTCATAGGTAGTGCAGGTACCTTACAATAACTCCCTAAAAATAATACTTAATATTTCTAACTTCTTAAAAAATAATAATTACCCCCTCCATTCTTTGTATCATTGCTGTTATTCATTTCACATATACGTAAGCATACACATATATATGCATTTTTAATAAAAACATTGTTTCTGTTATTAATTTGAACAAATTATTGTCCATTTGATAAATTAAGAAAAAGGTATTTATTTTACTTTCACTTACTCATTTTCTGATGCTCTTTCTTTATGTTGATACAAGTTTCTGATCTATTTCAGTTTTCTTTTCTCTGAAGTTCTTCTTTTGGGGTTTCTTGCAGGGAGGGTCTGCTGACAACACATCCCCTCAAATTTTTTTTTTTTTTTGGTCTAAGAAAATTCTTATTTCTCTTTCACATTTTAAGGATAATTTCACAGGTTACAGAATTTTAGGTTGATGATATTTTCCTCTTAATATTAAATATTTCATTTAATTCTTTTCTTGCTTTCATAGTTTCTGATAAGTCAGATATAATTTTATCTTAGTGAGTGCTTTTTTTCTTTCTCTCTAGTTTCTCTCAGGATTTTTGTTTCTTTATTTTGATTTTCTTCAATTTAAATATGATTTGTCTAGGTGTAGGTTTTCTTAGCATTTATCTTGCTTGCTGTTCTCTGAGGTTCCTGAATCTTTGGTTTGGTGTCAGACATAACTTGAAGAAATTCTTGGTCGTGGGTGATTCAAATATTTCTTCTCTTTTTTTTTAATTCTTCTTCTGATAGTCTCATTACATATATGTTACACTATTTGCAGTTTTCTCACAATTCTTGGATATTCTGTGTTGTTGATGGTTTTTTTAATCTTTTTTTATTTTTCTTTTTTGGCAATAACAATTGAAATATCCTTAAGCTCAGGTAGTCTTCTCTCAACCATGACCGATCTACTAATATGCCCAAGAAAGGCATTCTTTATTACTTTTACAGTGTTTTTGAGCTCTAGAATTTCTTTTTGTTTCTGTCTGAGAATTTCCGTCTCTCTGCCTACATTGCCCATCTGTTCTTACATGCTGTCTCCTTTATACATTAAAGTTCTTAGCATATAAACTGTAGCTTTAAAAATTCCCAGTCTGATAATTCTAACATCCCTGCCTTATCTGAGTATGGTTCTGACACTTACTGTGTCTCTTCAAACTGTGTGTGTGTGTTTCTTTTTTTAGTATGCCTTGTTTTTTTAATATATATCTGAACATGATGTAGTGGGTAAGTAGAACTGTTGTAAATAGACCTTTAGTAATGTGGTGGTAAGGTGTGGTCCTTAATCATAGGTCTGGTCCTATGATTGAGACTCGGTCTTTTAGTGAGCCTGTGCCTCTGGACTGCAACCTTCACAAGTGCTTCTCTGTTCCCCCTCCCACCCTCTTTTACCTTTAATAGGATAGCTAGAATGGGCTGACGTTGAGTATTTTCCTTCTCCCAGTTGGAAGGCTAGAGCCTGCTGGAGTTGGGCATTTCCCTTTCCCAGGTCATGTAGACTCGAATTAACCCCCAGTAGGTTAGGTTCAAGTTAAACAGTTTCCCCAGGGACAGACATTGTGAAGAAGAAAAGAATAGTGTATTTCAAAATGGTTACTTTCTCCCTTCCCCTGCTGGAAGCATGAAGGGATTTTTTTTTCCTCTAATATTCACTGTGGGAATCTAGTTCCTCAAGGCAAAACTCACATAAGTATGGGCACCCGCCTATGACTAGATCCCCCTAGAGTTTTTGACTCTCAGAATTTTCCACACTGAGTCTCCAGCAAGTCATCAAATACAGTTCAGGTTTTCCTATAGCCCAGCAATAGTTCCCACAGAGGTTTCTGGTCCAGTAAGTTGCAATTCTCCTTACAGGCGTATCTTGCCTTAGAGACATTGAAGGTTCAGTTCCAGATCACAGCCACAAAGTGAATACTGCAATAAAGCAAGCCACACATTTTTTTGTTTCCCAGTACATATCAAAGTTATGTTTCCACTGTGCTATAGTCTCTTAAGTATGCAATAGCACTATGTCTAAAAAAACAACATGAATACCTTAATTTAAAATACTTCATTTCTAAAAATGCTAACAATCTTCTGGGCCTTCAGCGTGTCATAATCCTTTTGCTGGTGGAGAGTCTTGCCTGGGTATTGATGGTTGGTGCCTGATTAGGGTGGTGGTTGCTAACTGAGGCAATTTCTTAAAGTAAAACAACAATGCAGTTTGCCTTATCAATTGCCTCTTTGTTTCACAAAAGATTTCTCTATAGCATGCCATGCTGTTTAATAGAATTTTACCCATGGTAGAACTTCTTTCAAAATTGGAGTAAATCCTCTTATCCCTGCTGCTGATATATCAACTAGGTTTATGTAATATTCGAAATCCTTTGTTGTCATTTCAACAAGGTCCATAGCATCTTCAAAAGGAGATTCCATCTCAAGAAACCACTGTCTTTGTTCCTCCATAAGAAGCAACTCCTCATTATTTTCATTCTCATTTTATTGTCAGATTGTAGCAATTTGGTCACATCTTCAGGCTCTACTTCTAATACTATTTCTCTTGTTATTTTTACCACAACTGCAGTTACTTCTTCCACTGAAGTATTGAACTCCTCACGGTCATTCATGAAAGTTGGCATTAAATTCTTTCAGACTTCTGCTCATGTTGATTATGTTGATCACCTCCCATGAATCACAAATGTTCTAAATTTCATCTAGATTGGTGAATCCTTTCCAGAATATTTTCAATTTACTTTACCCAGACCCATTGGAAAAATTGCTATCTATGACAGCTGTAGCCTTACAACATGCATTTCTTAGATAATATGACTTGAGAGTTGAAACTACTCTTTGACCCATAGGCTGCAGAATGGATGTTGTGTTCACAGGCATAAAATCAATATTAATTTCCTTGTGAATCTCGATCAGAGCTCTTGGGTAACCAGGTGCATTGTCAATAAGCAGTCATAATTTCAAAGTAATATTGTTTTCTGAGCACCAGTTCGCAGCAGTGGCCTTAAAATATTCAGGAAACCATGCTGTAAACAGATGTGCTGTCATCCAAGCTTTGTTGTTCCATTAATAGGACACAGGGAGGATAGATTTAACAGAATTCTTAAGAGCTCTAGGATTTTTGGAAAAGTAAATGAGCATTGGCTTCAACTTAAAGTCAGCAGCTGCATTAGCCCCTAACAAGAGAGTCAGTCTGTCCTTTGAAGCTTTAAAGCTAGGCCTTGTTTTGTCCTCTCTAGCTATGAAAGTCCCAGGGGGCATCTTCTTCCAATATAAGGCTGCTTTATCTTCACTAAAAATATGTTGTTTAAATGAGAACACATGGACAAGGGAGGGGAACATCACACACCGGGCCCTGTCAGGCATAGGGGACAAGAGGAGGGAGAGCATTAGAACAAATGTACATGGGGGTTAAAGCCTAGATGACAGGTTGATGGGTGCCACAAACCACCATGGCACATGTATACCTATGTAACAAAACAGCACCTTCTACACATATATCCCAGAACTTAAAGTAAATTAAAAAATAAAAATCTGTTGTTTAGGGCAGCCCCCTTTGTCAATGCTTTCAGCTAGATCTTCTGAATAACTTGTTGTAGCTTCTACATCAGCACTTGCTGCTTCCTCTTGTACTTTTACATTATGGAGAAGACTTTTCTCCTTAAGCCTCATGAACAAACCTCTGCTGGCTTCTATTTTTTCATCTGAAGCTTTCTGACCTCTCTCAGACTTCAGAGAATTGAAAAGACTTAGGGCCTTTCCTTAGATTTTGCTTTGGCTTAAAGAAAGATAGTGGCTGGTTTGATCTATTCAGACCACTGAAACTTTCTCCATATCAGCAAAAAAGACTTCTTTGTTTTCTCACCATCCGTGTGTTCACTATAATAGTACATTTAATTTCTTTCATGAACTTTTCTTTTACATTTACAACTTGCTCAACTCCTCGATGCAAGAGGCCTAGCTTTCAGCTTATCTTTGCTTTCAACCTGTGTTCCTCATCAAGCCTAATATTTTCTAAATTTTGATTTAAAGTGAGAGAGGTGGGACGCTTCCTTTCACTTGAGCATGTAGAGACCATTTGCAGAGTTATTAATTGGCTTAATTTCAATATTGTTGCATCTCAGGGAATACTGGGAGGGGGGAATTGGGGATGAAGCAATCAGAACACATGTGGTGTTTATTGATTAAGATCGATTCATTTTGCCATCTTTTATGGGCATGATTTGTGTCCCCTCCAAACAGTAACATCAAAAATCACTGACTATAGATCACCATAAGAGATATAACAACAATGAAAAAGTTTGAAATATATTGAGAATTACCAAAGTGTGACACAGAGACATAAAAAGTAAGCACTTGCTGTTGGAAAAATTGTGCAAATAGACTTGTTTGATACAGGGTTGCCATAAACATTCAATTTGTAAAAAAAAAAAAAAAAAAAAAAAAAAAAAAAAAAAAAAACACACAACATCTGGGAAATGCAACAAAGATGAAGTGTAATAAAATGAGGTATGGCTATATCTGCTCCTGTCTCCAAAATTTTGAGAGTAGATGTTTACCTTGCAATCTCACTTCTATTATGGGTCTAAGAAGAGTTGCTGGCCTTCTGTGTGTTCAGCTTTTTACTTATTGTTGCAATGGAGTGATGATTTCCAAGTTCTTACATTTGGGGCAGGAAATTGGAAGTCCAAATATAGTATTTTCAAATGACAGAAGAGCATATTTTCTTCAAAAATATAGCCAGTATCAATTTAAAACTCAAATGTTTAAATTCCCAGATGACGAAATTTTGTATATTTTCTCTTATTCTGATTTGCTGACTTATTCTTTTACAATATTTATACTGACAACCAAGCCCTCCTCCAAGTATAGCCAGGAGAATTTAGTCTTCTGACCAAATTCTTGTTCATTGATTGAAATTTATAAAGTTCATACCTTTTGCCAAAAACCAGGCTCATTCTTAGAAACAGAAAGACTTACAGGACAATAAACTTGCCAGATTATGTGGCAGATTCAGGAGGAAACTCTCACAATGTCTTTTGTGATATGAATCTGTATCTGAAGAAGTATTCATGGACTTCCACGCTATGCAAGACATTCTGACAGGTACTATGGAAGTTAACAGAAAACAAAGGGCAAGGCCTCTGCCCTCAAAAGTCCATTATTTAGTTGGGGAGAAAAGCCTGAAACTGAAACATCAAGTCATGACATAAGAAAAATGCAGGATGTTAAGGAGTAGTTGCCTTATAAGGTATAAAAGTGGTATGATAATACTTGCCAGGAGTTCATGTGAGGGGTCGACCCTTCGGCCAAAAAGGATAAGGTGGACCACAAAAAGGACAAAGCCCTTGACCTACTTTTTGGAAGAAATATAATTTGGATACAATGTTATGCTCATGATTCACATTATGCTATCTCACATCCAGATTTCAGTGGGCTCTGATATAGCTTGGCTGTGTCCCCACCCAAATCTCACCTTGAATTGTAATAATCCCCACGTGTCAAGGGCAGGGCCAGGTGGAAATAATTGAACCATGGGTGCAGTTTCCCCTATACTGTTCTCATGGTGGTGAATAAGTCTCACAAGATCTGATGTTTTCATAAATAGGAGTTCCCCTGCACAAACTCTCTTGCCTGCCACTGTGTAAGACATGTCTTTTTCTTTCTTCACCTTTTGCCATGATTGTGAGGCCTCCCCAGACATGTGGAACTGAGTCATTAAACCTCTTTTTCTGCATAAATTACTCAGTCTCGGGTATGTCCTTATTAGCAGTGTGAAAATGAACCAATAAAGGCTCTGTGTGTCTTTCTCTTTTGAAAGTATAGAAAATAATTAGAGCTAACTTTAATTAGTAACTTACTATATTAGGTATTATCCTAAACAATACAATGATTATGAGGTTGATCTGATATAGGCACCGTTGTCATGATCATTTTCGGATGAGAAATTGAGATACTGAGAGATTATGCAATTCTCCTTGATTCACACAGGTCAGAAGGGATGAGCATAATCAAACCTAGGCAGCCTAATTACAAGTGTACCCACTTTATATGTACTCTCCACTTAAGGCAACAAACTGATAAGGGAGGTCAGTATGTTCCAATTAGCATTTAAAATCAGCATCTCCCTCTAATAAATGTCTAAATTATATTAAATCTGGGAGCCTTGTGAATTGTAGTGGATTCATTGAGCAAACTAATTAAGCATGGTTCACCATTTGCTGGATTGATTTTATATCACAGAAATCAACCTTTCAAATAATTATGAAACACCAAATTGAATATAAACTAAACCAGGTAATAAAAACACACTCCGATGCTTCACAGTAAAATTCAATTATTATTGCTTTTTGAAACTAAAATAAATTGGGCAAAGTGTTTTTGTATTTAGTCTATAGGAAAATTTCTTGTTTATTATTCATTTGTTTATCTTAGCTCTGTAGCTTTTATTTATTTATATGTGTCATTTTTTTAAAAAAATATTTTTTACCAGTAAAGGAAGAATCATTAATTCTAGGAAATTGCTGGAAAGCAAGCTCTTTATTGTATTCTGTACTACCTGATTTTATGACTTCAGATCTCTCCTGAAGCATTTCGTGAGTTCTAATATAAATTCAAATTCAACTGTGATGTATTTTAGTTCTATAATGAAAATAAAGATGAGCTGTCTTTCAATTTCTGGAGTTAATTATCTTTGTTGAGTTCAGGATTATGAAAATATATTGTAGAATGTGGAGGGACAAGACTGTGCACAAGCGAGGGTATAGCTATTGGATAGCTCCAACAAAACATCTTTCAGTGAGCAGCAATAATTCTCCTTGAAATCTTCACTGGCCCTCCACTCCGAAGTAATCTCTCCTTTCTCTGAATGTGGAAAGCGGTGCAGGATGTATCTCTATTAGCATTCTATCACTACTTAGGTTATTTGCTTACCTCTTATTCATAATGAATGTAAGCATGAGTGCAGGAACCTTGTGCGTCTATTTTCTAGAACACCATTAGGCCTGATGTCTAGAGCATCAGGCTACAAAAACATTTTGGAGTATAATTTATCAGTGCCCACCTTGCATAGAAAAGTTTTGATTTATCAACATAGAAGCAGAGCTAAGTAATAAAACTATCACCTATGTTCATGAGGCTCAGCTAGTGTGATGAACTCTGGTGATAGTCATTATTCCCCTAATTTTCACAACCTCTAAGGTAGATACAATCTCCATTTTACAGATTAACAAACATAAGTTATTAATTTTATTAATTAAATTTGTTGGTTAAAACTCAGGCTTTATTTAAAAAAATAGTATCACTATTTGTTGAGAGACACAGTTCCCAAGTCATCAATTTTACTATTCTGGATTGCATGTCTGGCCTTTGAATTTGTTCAGTAATAATTAG
Organism: Homo sapiens; assembly: GCF_000001405.40. Taxonomy (NCBI): domain Eukaryota; kingdom Metazoa; phylum Chordata; class Mammalia; order Primates; family Hominidae; genus Homo; species Homo sapiens. Next base: position 92,968,421 of record NC_000004.12, read on the forward strand.
TGTTGAACCTCAAAGCCAAGCTATTAGGCTACCTAAATCTAGCAAAAACCACCTCTTTTTAAAATATAAATATATGCAGAACACATTTATTTACTTTAAGAGGATCACAAAGTCTAGTTTCATTGATACATCTCATGTTTCTCAGTATTTTTTATTTATTCCTTAATTTATGGAGGTAATTTAGAAAACTTAAAAAATACATCATTCAATGGCTTTAATAGATTCACATAGTTGTACAAACATTGCCACATTGTAATTTTAGAACAGTTTTTCTTTTTTTACTGCAAAGGAACTTCATGCCCATTAATAGTCACTCTTCATTTACTCCACCCACGTCCCCTAGCCCTAGGCAACCACTAATCTACTTTCTGTCTCTATTATGTATTTGTGGTCTTTTTGACTGGCTGTTTTCACTTACTATAATCAAAAACTTGTGAAGTTTATTTAAAAACATGTATTTCTATACAGACACACACATTCATTCTAATGATATTACCCAAAGAAAACCATTGTTGTTTATTGTTTGGCCATTTCATATTGTGGTCCATTTCCATGTGTTCAAAAATAAGGCTGTATTTGATATAACAGAGTTTTTACTTAATTACACTGAACTTGAGATTATTCAAGCTAATATAAGGCAATAGTAGCATAGGTTATGATCAAGTCACTTACATTTACCTTTGGGATATACTATGTGTAGTTTTGACAGCGTGTTTGCTTAAATAATTATGTTCAGCTAGAGTAAAGTCAAATTATTTTTGAATTCCCCTAGCACATGTCAACTAGGACTAGATAGAGATGGATGTAAAGTGTCATGTCAAGCAGAAGTCACCATAAGATTAAAGTCTTATTATAAATAATCCACAATGTGAACAATCCAACTATAGATAAAGAATTTTGACTGCATGTTGTATAACTGCCTTATTAGATGCTGAAAAATGTGGACATTAATACTTGGATGGAAATTGTTATCATGATTAATAACAATGAGTTGTGGCAATTTTACAATTAAGAGAATGTTTTGGGGATCCATGTTATATAATGAGGGTCTTTGTGGAACTTTGATAAAATTCATTCTTCTAGATGGAATTACAACTGATAATCATAATATAGCTAACATGTATTGAGTAATTACATTCCCAGGCACTGCTGTAATGGTTTTACATGCACTCAGTAATTTAATCTTCCTCATAACGCTATGAGACTCAGATTAAAGAAAGTAAATTTCCTATAGACCACCAGCAAGCATTGGTGGATGTGCAAAATTTCTTAATTCCATACTTTCGTTTTCAATGTGTTTTTGACATAGGATAATTAGATTATTAAAAATTGTTTTCTCTAGTGAAGAAATGCTACTATTCCTAGTACCAATAGAAACCCTTGTTTCCCTTTGAAAGAAATATGGAGCGCCTGAGGACTAGATAACCAAGGTTGCCTGAGGAAAGGATCACAATAACAGTAGGCAATTCTGTCCCAAGAATGAGTGCTTCTTAAAACATAAAATAGTTTTAAAAATTTCTTAAGATAGAAAATGTATTCTCAGTCAGATTTTTTAATTTTGACTTTGGTTAATCCTAAAATTTCCGGGCTAACAATGGAAAAATGTTTCTTAAAATTCTAGCCAAATGTTTTCATTTATTCAACAGAGTTAGTTAGTTTGAAATTCTTCTTGAATGTCTCAGTATTGCTCAATCAAATGGAATCTAGGTTAGACTAACAAATATTGTTGACATTGAGTAAGAATGCCATAGAGTGCAGAGATGTGGTAGGAGCTCAGATTCCACTAATCCACAATATTATGAGTCATTTAACACAAATTATCGTCATTTCAGCAGAAAGTGTTTGTACTTAATTGAAGTAAGTGGTCCCATTCAAAATCTTTCTTTATTCAGTCTCTTCAATCACCAAAGCAAAACAGGATATATGCATCTTTGAATAAATATCTGATTTATTGTGTATCTGTTAATTTATATAGAATATATTAATGTTAAATGGCAAAAACTGCAATTACTTTTGCGTCAACCTAATAATAGATTGTTTAATAAATAATAGTGCACATATTTGTGATAACTATAAAGACAAAATAGCTAAAACTAAATCGATGATATTTGACCTATGTAGCTAAATTAAGCCTGTGTCTTTCATGTTTCATACATAAATTCTGAGAGCACATATCTAGAATATGATATCATAAACATCAAAAATTTGAAAATCACTTTCGTGTTAGTCTTTAGAAATAGTGAGAAACTGTGTTTTAGAAATAATTTTGTTAAATTCCATTAGTGCACTGATATAAAGCTAACTGATAGAATTATTTCCAAATATTTATGTTTAGTCAGGATCTGAGCTACAATTCAGTAATGGAAAAGGAATCGTTGGTAATATGAAAATATTTATCAGTGTGTATTTCATAATATTACAGTGCTTTTGACATTGATAAAGTACCCCTTGCTTTACTACATGTTGCTTATCACTGGTAAGTAGTGTGTTAATTAGCATTGCATATATATATATATACACACACATTGCATATATATGTATATATACATCGTGCGTGTATGTGTGTCTGTGTGTGTATTGTTAAAGCTTTTTTTAAAAAAAAAAATTTGTACAGAAGAAGACTCAGACTTGGCTCATACTCCTGGGCTCAAATGATATTCTCGCTTTGGCCCCTCAAAATGTTGGGATTACAGGCATGAGCCACTGTGCCCAGATCATCTTAAAGCTTTAAACTAAATAAGTAGCAATGATAGGATAAGCTTTAGAAATAAATCTCTGTAGGGAGCATTCTCATAATGTGTTCTGTCTTGATTAACCACTAAAGAATTTTCTTAATGCATATTTTAAGCAGGAAGAGCAGGGACATAGGCACTTTATACAAAAATAAATTACATATATTTAGTACAGATTTTTATGTTGCAATCAAATCCTAGATAGTTACACAGAAGTAATAAGGGTGCAGTTGTCAGTTAAAATTGCTAGTTTTTTTCCTTTTATTTTTAGTTGACATGTAATAATTGTACATACACAGTTATATTTTAATATATGTGTATATGTGTAATGATCAAATCAGAGTAATTACATAGCCATCAACTCAAACATTTATCATTTCTCTGTGTGTGAACATTTAAAATCCTCTTTTCTAGCTTTTCAAAAATATACACTAAATTATTGTTAATCGTATTCATGCTGCAGTGCTACAGAACACTTGAATTTATTCCTTCCATTTAGCTGTAAGTTTGTATTCATTAATTCACCTCTCCCTACCCCCACTCCTCCCATTCTTCCCAGTCTATAATAACCACAATTCTGCTCCCTGCTTCCATGAGCTCAATTTTCTTTAGCTCCCACATAGGAGTGAGAATTTGTGGTATTATCTTTCTGTGCCTGACTTATTTCACTTATATAATGTCCTCCAGCCTCATCCACATTGCTACAAATAATGGGATTTCATTTTTTCAGGCAGAATAGTATTCTATTGTGTATATGTACCACATTCTCTTTATTCATTCATCTGCTGATTAACACTTAGGTTGACTCCACATCTTGGCTATTGAGAATAATGCTGCAATTAAAAGGGGGGTACTGTTTCTCTTTTATATGCTGATTTCCATTCCTTTGGATAAATACCCAATAGTAGTGGAGTTACTGGACTGTAGGATAGTCCTACTTTTAGTTTTTTTTTCTCAGAAACTTCCATACTGTTCTCCATAGCAGCTGTACTAATTTACATTCTTGTCAACAGTGTATAAGATTTCTCTTTTCGCTTCACCTTTGCTAGCATTTTTTTTTTTTTGTCTTTCTGATAACAGCTATCCTAACTGGGGTGAGATGATATCTCATTATGGTTTTGATTTGCATTTTCCTGATGATTAGTGATGAACAGCATTTTTCCCTATACTTGTTGGCCATTTCTTTAAATAGATTAAGAAGACAAAATTTTAAGAAGATATTTAGAGAAAATGTAGAAATATAGAGTAAAATATTTGACTGTGGGGGACATGAATAAACGTAAAATATAAAAACATGGTTTATGAATAACAGATAATGTAACACAATTTGGTGCTCTTTTCAGTAAAATATATGTCTGTATCCAATATAATTTAAGTGTACTATGATCCTAGTAAAAATATTTAAAGATCTTATTTATCTCAGTTTTCTAGCTCTCTCAGGAAAATAATTTTTTTTTTTATTTTTAATTTTAAGTTCAGGGGTGCAAGTTCAGGTTTGTTACATAGGTAATCGTGTCATGGGGGTTTGTTGTACAGATTATCTCATCACCCAGGTATTAAGCCTAGTACCCACTGGTTACTTTTCCTGATCCTCTCCCTCCTCCCACCTTCCACCCTCTGAAAGGCCCTAGTGTGTGTTGTTTTCCTCTATGTGTTTATGTGTTCTCATCATTTAGCCCCCACTTATAAGTGATAACATGCAATATTTGGTTTTGCTGTTCCTGTGTTAGTTGGCTAAGATAATGACCTCCAGCTCTATCTATGTCCCTGCAAAGGAAATGATCTCAGTCTTTTTTATGGCTGCATAGTATTCCATGGTGTAAGTGTAACACAATTTTTTTAATCCAGTCTATCGTTGATGGGAATTTGGGTTGATTCCATGTCTTTGTTACTGTGAATAGTGTTGCAATGAACATATGCGTGGATGTGTCTTTATAATAGAATGATTTATATTCCTTTGCACATGTGCCAAGTAATGGGATTGCTGGGTCAAATGGTATTTCTGTTTTTAAGGGTGTAAATTAATTCAGCCATTGTGGAAGACAGTGTGGTGATTCCTCAAAGACCTAAGGAGAAATAATATTCAATTTCTTGGAAAGAGGGAGACACTCTGCTCTTCCCATCTATATTTTCCCACCTTGATGTTTAAATAGAAGAGGGATAATGAAATTATATAAGGAAGCAGGTGAGTTTGGATCCCATACTCTCATAAGAACAGAGAAATAGTTACAATAGGTGGCATTTATGGAATGGTATCTATATAAACATAGTATGCTCTTTGTTTTACATGCCTTAACTCATAAGTCAGTATTGCTAAAGAGAATTCAGTTTCATAGCTGTTGTGTAAATGAGAAAATACTATTCTACCTCTATTATTTATTAATTCATAAAGGGGAAGCAATTAGTTTATATGCCAGTGAATTAGGTTTCGACTGGAACAAGTGTAGGAAGATTAAGAGCACCAGAACCTGAAAACTAAAATGGAAGTAGCCATACCAATGTGAGATGTGAAAGTGGAGATAATTTATTTTATAAGGTAAACTGTGATAATTAGTTACTTCTTTATATTTAGCAAATATTAAATGATACTTATTAGTAATTATTTAGAATACTAAATCTTATTTTTAAATGACTGGGAATTGTAATACACCTTCTAGACACTTTGCTTTTATCATGTGTTGATTAATGGGATCTTATTAAACTAAAGAGCTTCTGCACAGCAAAAGAAACTATCATCAGAGTGAACAGGCAACCTACAGAATGGGAGAAAATTTTTGCAATCTATCTATCTGACAAAAGGCAAAATCCAAAATCTACAAAACTTAAACAAATTTACCAGAAAGATACAAACAACCCCATCAAAAAATAGGCAAAGGCTATGAACGACACTTTTCAAAAGAAGACATTTATGCAACCAACAGACATAGGAAAAAATGCTCATCATCACTGGTCATTGGAGAAATGCAAATCAAAACCACAATAAGATACCATCTCACGCCAGTTAGAATGGCGATCATTAAGAAGTCAGGAAACAACAGATGCTGGAGAGGTTGTGGAAAAATAGGAACGCTTTTACACTGTTGGTGGGAGTGTAAATTAGTTCAACCATTGTGGAAGACAGTGTGGCAATTCCTCAAGGATCTAGAACTAGAAATACCATTTGACCCAGCAATCCCATTACTAGGCATATACCCAAAGGATTATAAATCATTCTACGATAAAGACACATGTACATGTATCTTTATTGTGGCACTGTTCACAATAGCAAAGACTTGGAATCAACCCAAATGTCCATCAATGATAGACTGGATTAAGAAAAGATGGCACATATACACCATGGAATACTTTGCAGCCATAAAAAAGGATGAGTTAATGTCCATTGCAGGGACATGGATGAAGCTGGAAACCATCATTCTCAGCAAACTATCACAAGATCAGAAAACCATCTGCATGTTCTCACTCATAGGTGGGAGGTGAACAATGAGAACACATGGACACAGGAAGGGAAACATCACACACCAGAACGTGTCGCGGGGGTAGGGGGGTAGGGGAGGAATAACATTAGGAGAAATACCTAATGCAGGTGATGGGTTGATGGGTTCAGCAAACCACCAGGGCACGTGTACATCTATGTAACAAAACTGCACGTTCTGCACATGTAACCCAGAACTGAAAGTATAATTAAACAAACAAAACAAACAACAAAAAAAGTGTTGATTAACAGGCCGGGAGCGGCGGCTCACGCCTGTAATCCCAGCACTTTGGGAGGCCGAGGCGGGCGGATCACAAGGTCAGGAGATCTACACCATCCTGGCTAACACGGTGAAACCCCGTCTCTACTAAAAATACAAAAAATTAGCCGGGCATGGTGGCAGGTGCCTGCAGTCCCAGCTCCTAGGGAGGCTGAGGCAGGAGAATGGCGTGAACCCGGGGTGTGGAGCTTGCAGTGAGCAGAGATCGCACCACTGCACTCCAGCCTGGGCGACAGAGTGAGATTCCGCCTCAAAAAAAAAAAAAAAAAAAAAGGTGTTGATTAACATCTAGCTTATTATTTATATATGTGCATATATATAATATGTTGAGCAAGTAGAATAAAACATTTCTGTAAGACGTGAAACTGATTTTATATTAATACTTTTTTTTCTTTAAAACTGTTTTTCAAAACTCTGTTATAATGGGATACTTCTAGTAGGCAATCTTCAATTCCTTAAGATACTTGGTTAGACCATTGTCATCATGGATGGAACAGGCTTGAAGAGAGAGTTGCAATTTGCCTTCCTAACCTATAATGGCCACAACATTAGTATCATTACTTATATGTATCAGTACTTATCAATGAAAAATACATCTATGTCATTTATTGTATCATATGATGTATACCACATCAGAATCATTACTTGAATTAAACTAGTGGTGATTCAACCTTCTCTGTCACCTCACTTTTTCTTTTTATCGTGAGAAATTTCCATGAACTTATTTTGCAAATTAAGTGCTTTTTACAATCAATGATTAGACTATTATTAGTAACAACTTGCTTGTCATAAGTTTTACAACTTATCATAGCACAGCAGCATATCAAGAAATTTGAGCACTGCAACTCTAGGTTACAAATTATTATCAACAAATGTAGATAATGTCAAGAGAATACGAATTTAATATTTAACAATGAAACATGGAGTGTTTTGATAGCAAAGAAACTAACATTCTCTTCTGCTCCTAAGGTGTAGGCAGTCTACTTACAAGCAGAGAAGAAGCAAATTTACATGACTATATGTGTATATACACAGACACATATACATATATGATATTTGTGTCTTTGTTGTACTCATTGAACTGCATACAAGTGCTTTTTCTTAAGCCAAGTTTTCATTAATTAATATACTAGATTAAATTAGTGAACATTACCATATATAAGCAGAGAATATCCAGTTTTCAATTACTTGTTTTTATTCTTCTACTCAATCATAGACTGTTGATTATTTAGAAGACACTATAAATATTTCACCTTGGTCATAATAAATAATGATCTGGTCAAGTAAAAATAAAAATTAACTGATAGCTAATCTTGTTATAGTAATAAACAATGGACATAGATAAAATACATATGTGAAAAAATGAATAAACAAATGATGCAGTGTGTAGAAATACCCACTACAAATTTAAATCATTTTCGTAGTGAATATATGATATATATCTCATGCATGTCTGTTGTACCTATCAATTCATGAATAGTGAGATACAGAGACAGATACACATGTACATTTATGCAGTTGTAGCAATTGAACCTGTGCTGTGTGTGTTCTATAACAATATTATATTAAGTGAATATAGTCAACTCTTGATTTTATATATATATACCCTTTTATGATCAATTTTAATTTTAATTCTGGGATATTTTGCCCTAAGTATATAATACATTTCTGGCACACTATTCCCACTTCCCAACTTGCCTATTGTCAGTCAGAGACTACAAGGCAATTTAGTATCACCAAAGCAAAACAAGATTACAAAAATGAAAAATCTGCCATTTGGTATTATCTCTATACTTCTCCCTATATTAGCAGAGAAAATTGACTTGATGTCTATTGCTGACTCTTCCAGAATTGTGGCTTCAGCATAGCTGAGTGATTTCATGGATATATTAGCCAGTTGGCTTGAATATTTTACAGCAAATAAGCAAAAACTCTCAGTATTAGCTTTTTCATTATTCATTATCTTTATGAAATCATACACTCTTACATTAAAGTAGGAACCCATGTTACGACACTTACTTTACTCATGAAGAAACTGAGACTCACAGATTAGCATCCATGACTGACTAAAGTACAATTTATAATAGCAGATCTGAGAGTAGAACTCATTTTTTTCATCTCTATGCAATTCATTCAACAATCAATCAGTAAATATTTATAGAAAGTAATATGTATTGGGCTCTGGGAAACTCATCTATTATTACAAGAATCAGAAAGCTAAAATGTAAGCAAATATATTTGGAAGATAATTACGTATTAAAATATGTACTATGCAGGAAGCTAACAAGGTAATTTGTAAAAAGTGCGATTAACAGGAGAAGTTGTGGTGATGCAGACCTACTGAATAATGGGAGACATTTTCCCTAAGGAGATGACATTTGATGGGAGAACCGAAAAGCAAAAAGTAGTCAACCACAAAAATTTCTGGGAGAGGTACATTCTACATCAAAGGAACAGGAAATACAAGGGTTCAAGGTTAAGAAAGAACATGGGGACTTCAAGAAACAGAAGAGAAATTAATATAACTGGCATATTGTGATGGGGGCATAGTAGAAGATGAAAATGGAGAAGCAGGCATGAGCCAGATCTTTGAAGCCCTTCATGCCCTGGTAAAAAATATAGATTTTATTCAGTGTGAAATGGGAATCCTCTAAAGATCTTTAAGCATACATTATCTGATTTGAATTTTATAGAGAATGTTCTGACTACAATTTGAAGAATCAATTGTAGGAAGCAGGAGTGAAAACCATTGCTGTAATGTGGATGTGAAATTAAGACTTGGACTATGGGGTTGACAATAGAGTTGGAGAGAAGTCAAGATATATGTTTGGATTTAAAATCAATAGGATTTCCTGGTCAGGTGGATATGGAGAGCAAGATAAAAGGAAATCAAGGGTGATTTCCATATTTCTAGTCTGAGCAATTAGATAGCTACAATGTCAGTTATTGAGAAGGAAAAGACTAGGAGAAAAACAGAAATGGGAGAGTTATTGATACAGAATTATTTTCACAGTATGTGAAGATGCTAGGTCAAGAGAAAATGTCAAGTAGTCAGCTGGAAGCTCAGAGACAGGGAAATCTTGCACAAGTTATACATTTGGTAGTATTGCTAGACAAAGTCCTCATTAAGATCACCAAGGGATAGTCTATATAAGTAAGAGAAGGTGATTCACGACCAATCCATAGGTATTTTGTAATTAAAGAATTAGAGTGTGCCTATGGAAAGGGCACACATGAAAGGAAAATAAGAAAGGATAGCCAAAGGTGTTGGAGGAAACCAAGACGCACTGAATGTTTCTCTTCATTCCTTTTCCCTTTATTGTCCTAGAACAATTATTAAATAATTACTGAAACATTTTTCCACAGTTTGATTTCAGTAATTATTAAATAATTACTGAAACATTTTTCCACAGTTTGATTTCTAACTCTCATTCCTTTATTCCTGTTTATTCTCTTTAAGAACCTCTATAAGAGGAAGTTCATTATTCTTGTCCATTATTGTAGTCTCACCTTCAGTGCAGTATCTGGAACATAGCAGACACTCAAGAACTATTTGGTCAAGAAACTTATTTCCATTTTTGCTGCTGTTGTTTTTATTCCTACTTTGTTTCTTTTCTCAGGTTATCCTGTTTCAAGACCTCTAATGGTCTGATCTAGGTCTCAGGGGTCCCCTCTGGCTTGTTTTCTTTCCCTAGCAGGTATAAAACAAATTATGGATGTTGTTAGTTAAGAGCTACACTTAAACAGATTAAAAATGAAGGAGAAATTTAGAAAAGAGCACAATTCATGATTTCACTAGTAAAATATTATTTTGTTTCTTTCTAAATTATGTAAATTATATCTAAGGCTGTGTACAGTTGCTCATGCCTGTAATCCTGGCACTTTGGGAGGCCGAGATAGGAGAATCACCTGGGGCCCGAGACCAGTTGGGCTGCAACATAGTGAGACCCTGTCTCTACAAATAAAAAATTAGCCAGACATGGTGGTGCATACCTATAGTCCCAGCTACTTGGGAGGCTGAGGTGGGAGGATCACTTGAGCTCAGGAGTTTGAGGCTGAAGACCTATGATTGCACCCCTGCACTCCAGCCCTGGTGGCTGAGAGAGACCTTGTCTCTAAAAAATAAAAATAAAAATGAAAATAAAAATAAATTATACTCGTGCTGTCCGACATTATAACCACTAGGCATATGTAGCTATTGGTCACTTGATATGTGGCTAGTACAAATTGTGATGGGTCATTGTACAAAATATTCCAGATTTGAAGGCATTACTAACAAAAAAACCTAAAATATGTCATTATTAATTGAATATTATATGCTGAAAAGGTAATATTCTGGATACATTTAACAATTACTAAAATTAATTGCAACTTCTAAAATTTGTTTAATGTGGATACTAGATATTTAAAATCAAATATGTAGCTCCCTTTATAATTTATTATAATTATAATAAACAGTATTTGGATAGTACTGTTCTATACTTTTGATACACAGAGCAAGGACCTTAGATGATTTAGGTACGACTCAGTGTATTGGTAGGCATGTAAAATCTCAGGTCGTTTTTCAGGCCTATGAATAAAATTCTGTGTTTTAAGAAGATCCCCACATAATTTGAATGCATGCTGAAGTTTGCAAAATGCTGCTGTATATATTGTTGCTGTCTCCAAAGAGCAAGGTGTGATTTTGCCTTCGAACAATGACATATCCAACCTCATTTCCGATGTAATTCAGACTAAAATCTAAAAACTGCAAATCCTACAGTGATGCACAGAAAGGTTAATATCAAGTGTGAACCCAGCTTACAAGCCATAGTTCTGCATTTTCAACTACAAGGGTTCATGTGCCATACTTTGGAATTAGTGCAAGCAAAAGCCAGCTCACATTGCTTGTGCATTTTGTTACCTAGAGAGATTTGCATTTAGCAAATTTAGCTCAGCTGGCACTTATAAAAAAGCCATTGCCAGAATGCCTGAGAAATTTAGTCTCTTGTATGGTACTTAGAGTGGTCAGCAGGAATGTTAGCAGACAACATCTCATTTTTGCAATTAATCTGCTTTATCACTACAGTGTAATTTAAAAGAATTTTGTCTAGCAGGAGTCTTTTTATTTGCTGGGTTGTGATTTTTTCCAGGTTATATGTTATTCCCATGCTAATATTTGCCTTAATAATAATGTGTGGACTTTAATATAAATATGATTTTGCAGCAGCATATTAATTACAAATATGTTGCAATAACTTCAAGAACCCAATTTTTGACTATTTTATCTTTACATTTGATTTATTAGTTTTGTAGATTCTTGATTTGTTTAGATAGGGTTGGGAGAGTAGAGTTCCTTTTTAAAAATATTAAGTCTATGTAAACATAGTCATGCCATCTACTTATTTGCACTTGAGGTTCAGAAAAAAAATGTTATGAGAATTTAAAATTTTGACTTAATTAATTTATTTGTATAATATTTTACCTTAAAAATAATTGAAGATAATTGTGATATATCATATAGATCACATTTCACCATTTAATATGATTCAGTACTTAGGCAATGGAAGCAGAATTTAGAAACCTCTCTTTATTGGAATTGAATTATATTAAAAGAAATGAAAAATAAGTTATTAACACATTTCCTAGAATATGCATCCCTTATATATTTGTTGTTATGTAGTAGAGGCTGTCATTTATCAATTACCCTCTGTAGTAGACAGAACTAGGTTTTAGGAGTCATAATTTTTATCATTTGTTTTGTTTTTCACAATACAAATGTGCAAATGTCAAACTCCTAGAAAAATACATTATTCTTCATATATATTATATCAATGATATAAAAACTGAGAATTATTAGACCTATGTGCAATGTAGAAAAGCATTGAAACTCATTTCAAACATAGCATAAATGTATTCAAAGCATTATTGAGGAAGAATGAATAATATGGGTTTGAAAATGTGGCAAATTATCCCAAAAATATGTAGCTACTTACCCAGCTGGCATCATGGCCACACAAACAAAACACTGTTCCCACATTGTTTCACTTACTTTCCATGGCAAGTCTCAAGGGCAGTCATATCTTCATTCTTATATTAAAGCTGAATTTCAGAAAAGCCAAGCAAATTACCCAAGGGCAAATAGGTAACTGAAATAAAAAATATAATTCATTTCTGTCTCATTTCAATGTTGATAATTTGCTCATTACCCATGCCTCAATACCAGTCAAAACTCAATATTTCTGTATCTTTGGTGTCATTTTAAAATACTTCCAGTATGTATGTATAATTTAGTAGGAAAGTTTGCTGAATTATACCTATATATATGTGTGTGTGTGCATACGTCTTAAGATATTGACAGTCCCAATAGAATAATAATTATTTAGTTCATTTTTCATAAAACATTAAAATCACTGCCAAAGTCACTGATGTAAACACTTTGTGACATAATAACCACTCTGTTCCTTAGATGTAGCAGTTAATGCGTGCGTATTATTGATCATTATCTAGTTGTAACAGTAAAAGTAATTGTACACTTGAGTAATTCTTGTAATTATTATTAGATGTATTCCATGTCTACACTTGTAAATGTGGAAAGCATCAATAGTTCAAAAGTTTTAATCAAGGGCAGAGAGATTATATCTGCGGCTAACCCTCATTTCCAAGGCCTCCATCTCTTTATATTGTATCTTTATGGATTAAAAGTTAATGCAGTTTCTCAGTGCCTGCATCACCAACAAATCACATACAGTGAGTTGAAGCTGGATTTGTGGGAACAATTACTGTTGGTTGTATTTATTATATAAATACATTTGATGATTCCCAACAGTTCTGGAGAGACATGGTCTTAATAATTCAGGAAAATATTGGGAATGCATTCTCTAAAAACACAGCTAATCAATACAATATAGAGACTAATAACAAAATGAATAACTTTTTAAAAATTATTTCCATTTTAATTCTTTGTTAAACTGGGAAAACGCACATCTATGCAGATCAACAACTGTAAATGATTTTAAATTGTGCAATGTGGAAGTGAACGTTGCTGAGTTTGCCCAGGACAAACTGTGCTGACATATGGGAAATTTAGTTTATTTCAGTTTTTACAGAAAAGTATCTTCACAGTCTAAAGTACTGGTAAAAAAAAAAAAAAAAAAAAAAAGAAAAAGAAAAAAGAAAAAGGTGACTCAGGAATCAACACCTATATGTGATAAGTAGGAGTCTCATTTTTACTCCCCTACTCAACTTTCTCTCTGTTAGATGTGATAATGAACTGTGAAATGGTCAAAATGAGAGGAAGAAAAAAGGATGCGGCTAATTTCCAAACTAGATAGTGTCAAATTCAGAGTTGTCTACAGTAACATTAGCTCTTGATATTTGTGATAAACATGTGATGTTGCAAAGTATATAATATTACCAGTTGAATAGATGTAGTTATATGAATATTACATGTAAATTTCTTTTAATCATTTTAGATTTAAAAAGTTGAGGTACGTTCAGATTAATTTATGAAAATGTCATTTTAGCAATGACATATTATTTGAGTGATTAAAAATTACTCAAATTCAATTGAATAACCTACATAAGTTCTAAAATCATCAGAATAATTCTTCACACTTCCCATTTTATCAGTTTACACACCTGATTTGGTCCCAAATTCTGATTCTTCTGCTCTGCCCTTTCATCCTCACCATCAATGCCTTAGTTCATTTTCTCATCATCTTTCACCAGGATTTTTGCAATAGTCTTCTGCCTCCTCTCAAACATTCTTTACTCATTTGATTCCCCACATTGCCTCCATGGACATTCAGATTCCACTTATTGTAAAGTCTGCTTTTTCATAGTTCTTTGGCTAAGGTGTTGTGTAGGGTAATAAAGAGAGAAATAAAATAATAATAGATGTTAAGCAGAGCCATGTATTAAAAGTTGCAGATTATTTTAAGAAATAATTTCTACTTTTTTAATTTAACAAACACTCATTAAGACTCATTAACCGTTCTCATTAACCTTTAGAGGATACATAAATTATACTATATATCCTATTCTGAAGACCTCCAAGTAGAGAGGAAGCATGTATTATTGCCAATGCCAAAAAATAGAAACTATGTATCAAACTGGGTCAGCTCTGATTATAGGAAGCCAAGTATCTACCGTCAATCAGAGATAGGAAGGAAAATCTCCCTCATGTGAAAACTAATGGTGGTTTTAGGAATATTCCTATCTGGGAGTGGATGGAGAAGAGTGTATCAATTAAATAAAGTGATTTGGCACACAAAATACAACAATATTGATATATAACAGAATACAAGAGGATGGGTAATTAATCATGAACAGAAATTTATTTCCTACGTTTGCTCTTGGAAAATCCAAGAGCAAGTTCCCAGCACCTGGAGAGGAACTTTTTACTGTGTCATTACATGGCTGAAGGTGAAAGGGCATGCAGGAGTCAGTTCCATTTTTAAGTGCCTTTTTAAGGTTACCTAAGCCCATTCACAAGAAAGGAACCCTCATGATCTATTCAGCTCTTAATGGCCCCACCTCTTAATGTCATCACATTAGCAATACCTGAATTTTGGTGAGGACATATTCAAACCACAGCAGTAATCTCATGATGCATTTACATCATTTGACATATCTCATTTTTTTGTCTTCAAATTATCAAATATTCTTTTATAAACATATAGTATATGATTATGAAATTTTCATAATTTCTAATTCATTTTAGTCTCATAAGCAAGAAGGAATAATTCATTATTATAATTTCTTATATATTTCAGTTAGAACCCTTTAAGATGGAAAACACCTATAGTTAGTGCCTACATAGATAAATTAAGTAGAAATAAGTCAAGTTTTACAGATTTGCCTTATTTGCCTCCTCTTCTAACTCCAACTGTCCAATTAGTCTCTACTATAAGGGCACACTGAAATAAAGGTAGGAAGGCTTTACTGTCAGAACTCTGTATATGTTTATTTTATGTCAATGCTAAGGGGGTTCTTTTAGGTCTAGTGAACTAATAGAAAACAAAACTAAACTTGAAGAAAGAAGCAATAGCCTGTAATAGGACAGAGACTGGGATTTTGTGCCGATAACTCAACATGTAACTTTGGACAGGGTACATAACCTCTTTGGCCCTCAGTGTTTTTGATTGATAAAATAAGAAACTTCAATTTGATCATCTGTGATGTTTCTTCTAATTCAAATAAAGTACAGCTATAAATATTTTTCATAATGAACCAAAATTGACTTTCACAATTAGCCAGTTTACATGATATATAAAAACATTGTCATCCTTCTATTTTTCTCATATGTACTTGTCTCTTTTTTCTAAATTACTGGAAACTCATACTATTCCTCTACTACATTTTTCCTCTGCCACCATAGAGTTACATCAGTCTTTGAACAGAAACAGAAAGTGCAGAAAGCCTGTCACTAACGTGACCTCCTCACAGATTTTGAATTATTACCTCAAGAAGAGGGAAAGTTGGAACAGCTTATATCATTGCAGAAAGATATTTTACCTGTCTACATACAATTTTTCTGTGATATAGCTTGTTTACTCTTTGTTAGAGAAAGACTGGCTTGTATCTTTGTGTCTTGGACACAGTACAGTTGCTCCATCATTTGCAGTACAGCTAATACTCATTTGGGTACCATGCATGGATACATCTATTATCTCACTTTGTTTTCACCATAAACCTCCGAGGTAGAGATGACCATTTTCCTCATTTCGAGTAAGGAATCCATGGCCAAGAGAAGTGAATAGCCTACTGATTCCATTAGCTAAACTAAAGACTATTTGAATTTCACCAGATGTCCTTTTCTGTTCTAGAATCTGACATTGCACATTGTGTTTGGTCTCTGGAGTCTCCTCCAATATTCAACTTCTTTTTTTTTTTTTCCCAGTCTTGACAATTTTAATGAGTAGTAGTCAGCTAGCTTCTTTGTTGAGTCTTTTTCAATATTAGCTTTAAAATTAAATTTGGATTATACAGTATGGGCAATAAAATATCATAGAAATGATATTTTTTCTCTCACTGCTTCTTGGTAGGACTACATAATATTAACAAGTCTTATTACTGATTGTATTAACCTTGACTAACTACGTTTAACAGTTTTTCTTTACTGTAACACTGTGATTCTCCTCTTTGTATTGGAAAAACATATGAGGGGGAAGTTTTTGAGACTGTAACAACAGCCTGATACCTTGTTTCTCCTCAAATGTTTGCTCACTGATTTCAGCATCCAATGATAGTCTCATCTGCAACAATTATTACCGTGGTTTTTGCCAAATGATATTTTATTTTTATAATTTCTTATATATTTAATCCAAAATAAGGGTAATTTTTTTTTTTTTTTTGAGACGGAGTCTCGCTCTGTCTCCCAGGCTGGACTGCAGTGGCGCGATCTCAGCTCACTGCAAGCTCCGCCTCCCGGGTTCCCGCCATTCTTCTGCCTCAGCCTCAGCTGAGGACTGGCCTCAGCTGCGACTACAGGCGCCCGCCACCATGCCGGGCTAAATTTTTTTGTATTTTTTAGTAGAGACGGGGTTTCACCGTGTTAGCCAGGATGGTCTCGATCTCCTGACGTCGTGATCTGCCCGCCTCAGCCTTCCAAAGTGCTGGGATTACAGGCGTAAGCCACCGCGTCCGGCCGGTAAAAATATTTTTTATATGGTCTCCTTTATCTCTAGTCAACGTTCTTCTCTCCCCTCTTCTCTCCTGAAAGCAT
Organism: Homo sapiens; assembly: GCF_000001405.40. Taxonomy (NCBI): domain Eukaryota; kingdom Metazoa; phylum Chordata; class Mammalia; order Primates; family Hominidae; genus Homo; species Homo sapiens. Next base: position 92,985,613 of record NC_000004.12, read on the forward strand.
GACAAAAAAATGATTTACTGCATGATTTTTATTTCCAGAATGAATGAAGGTAACATTTTTGATGACTTTGTCCTTTAAAGGGGTTAAGATATTACACTCTTTTCAATACCCAAAGGCGAACTGTAACATTCCCACAAATTTGAGAAATATTCCGCTTATGATTGAGTCAGATGTTGTCACTCAGCCACAAGTTATCTTCCAGAGTTTGAACTTCCTATTGAAGTTATACATCAATTATAGAAGCTGACTGAAATATTGCCATAGATTATATATGTGATAGGTTCTACATCTGAGGAGGAAAGCATCTATAATACATTTTCATTAAAGCAGCTCTCAATTCACCGTCTGCTTAATTCCTACATTCTCATGCATATAACTTATGAGCAGTTTTCAAAAAATGAAAGAAAATTGAAAATGTAGCACAGCCAAGGCATGCATTGGTGGAACAGGTAAAATTGATTTTTATATTTGCTTGGGGACATGGATCACTTCCCTGAATCTGGTTTGCATTGATCAGTGTTGATGGACTATAGATTAAATGTCATACATAAGCCCCCATTTTCAAATTCATTATCCTCAAGGGAAAAGTATCTGAAGAAGGATGGACTATATTTATAATCCATGCCAATATCAAGATGAAATTTGATACATCTGAAAGTGAGAAACTCTAGGAAGAATACTATTTGTATTAATAAGAGGTAAAATATTTTCAATAAAGAGTCTATTTTTTGATTAAATCAGCCAATAAGTCAAGAAAAAGTGAAAAATATATGTGTTGAGGGTCTACTTTATACCTCTCTGCACAATGAGATATAGGGTTTAACCACAGAAATTCTTTCTATTTAAATGTTGGTCATGGTAGGCACAGGAAAACAAGGAAAGTGGCAAATACTGAAAGTCAGGGTTACTTCCTCCCAACCCTAGAAAACTACTTTGGTAGCACACCACTGGCGAATAGTGTAGCAATGTTAACTTTCTGGTTTCCATGATTGTGCTAAGGTTGTGTAATTTATTAATATAAAGGAATGCTGCCTAGGGGGTATATATGAACTGTGCACTGTATTTGCAACTTTCCTGTAAGTCTAAAATTATTTCAAAATACAGACTTTTTTAAAAAGCTGTAACAGAACAGGACTAAATATTATAAATACTGTATAACAATAAAATAATTTATATTTTTAAGTTCTTATGTTCTGAAGATAACGTAAAGATAAATAAAGTCCTTGTCCTCAAAGATTCATTGCTTAACATAGTTGAGAGCTCTTAGAAAATGTGGACAGCTTGGTGAGTTGACAGAAACTGAGTGGTATAGGGTCTTTCCTTCCTTCTTTTTGTCCCCCAAAAGCCTCAAACCTGAAATATTCCAGGAGTTAATAGAAAAATAATGTATACCCTTGAACAAAGTTTTATGTGTGAAATTTCAGAGTAGATTCTTAACAAAGGATGGAAACTGTGCAAATATTATTGTGTCTATTTATAACTGATTTACATTAATTTTCATTTATCAAGTACTGATTTTTTGCCAGCTCTCCTGGTTCAGAAAGGAAATTACTGTTATACTAAACTTACGAGTAAGAAATCAGAATCTCTAAAATACGGTGACTGATAAAATTTTTTTTTAGTAATGGGAAATGGAACTAAGATTTGAACTTCCTCACCATTAAAGAAGGTACAGGCAATGTTGATAGCCACAGCACAAGACAGAAGGGTAACTCTTCATGTAATGGCTTCACTGAGAAATTGTAGTGCAGCCTAAATGGTGTACACTCAGTGAAATTGCCAGAACAGTGAGGTTCCTTTGTTTCAACAACTATTATTTATAATGTTGTGGGGGTGGGAGGAGGGGAGAGGGATAGCATTAGGGAGATATACCTAATGTTAAATGATGAGTTAATGGGTGCAGCACACCAACATGGCACATGTATATATATGTAACAAACCTGCACGTTGTGCACATGTACCCTAAAACTTAAAGTATAATTAAAAAAAAATAAAAATAAGAAATAAATAAATGAAAAGAAAAAATAAATCCTATTGATGCTAGAAAAAGTAATTATAGTTTTTTCTTCTAATGAGATGATATGGTTTTTGAAATATTTTATTGAATGAATTTAGACTTAGAGATTGTCATTTTTTTCAGAATATTAAAACAAAAAATATATACTTGTAGAACTTGGCAAATGCCAACTCTCTCTAATTATAACTGTTAAAATACAAATACTATATGGTACCGAGAATGGGAGTAATAAGGCAATATTTAATTAGATATCTGCTAATATCACATAGATGTTATGTTTTGTGCTTCCTCATGAGATGTTTGAGGGATTTCAGTGATATGACATTTTTTCTTCAGTGCATATTGTGTTACAGACTTAAAATTTACATTAATTGATCAATTCAATTATTTATTTATTCAATTCATTTATTCAATAACTATTCATATTGGTTATCTATGGCTGTGTCACACATTATTCCAAAATTCAGCAACTTAAAACCACAAACATATTACCTTATAGTTTTTTTGAGTTAAAAATCCAGGAATGGCTCAGCTGGGTGCTTCTGGCTCAGGGTTCATTACAGAAGCTATAATCCAGATATCAGTAAGGGCTTCAGCCATCTCAAGGCTCAACTGGGGAAGCATCAACTCTTAAGCTCAAACAGGTGGTAGGCAGGGTTTTGCTCTTCAAGGACTGTTGTACTAAGGCTTCAGTTCCTTGCTGCTTGGTGGCTGAAAACCAGTGTGAATCGCTCTCTAAGGCAGTTCACTACATAGCAACTGATTTCCTTGAGTGTGGGCAAGTCAGACAGCAAGAAAAAGGAAGCAAGACAAAAGCCAGACTCTTCTTGTAATCTAATCTTGGAAGTGGCATCCCTTATTTCTGCTATATTTTATCCATTAGAAACAGGTCACTAGATCCAGATCTCACTTGAAGAGAGAGGATTGCACAACCATGAATCAGAGATCATTGGGGACAATCCTACAGGCTGCTTATCATGGTATTTATTACATTTTAACTGGATTACCCAATTTATAGACACGAAAAAGATTGATCATGGTTTTATGGAATGGCTTAACTTATGGTCCCTATCCTAGAAGTAATTAAAATCCCTGGAAGAATATAGAAAAATAAATGGATAAATTCTAACAATAATATGATAAATAGCATAATTGTGGAATAAACAAACTGACAAAGGAAAACATGTGGTGTGTTATTCACTCTATTTGGGAACTGTAAGGTCTAAAGAGAAAATGGCATAACTGATACATGAAGAGAAACAGCCTCATAATTAGTATCAAGGTATTCTGTGTTTCCTATAATATTTTAGGTCAACTTCAATTTCTAAACATATAAACAATGATCTTTAAGTATATATAAAAATCCCTGGCCAGGTGCAGTGGCTCAAGCCTGTAATCCCAGGCATGGGAAGCCGAAGCGGGCAGATCACGAGGTCCGGAGATGGAGACCATCCTGACTAACACGGTGAAACCCCATCTCTACTAAAAATACAAAAAATTAGCCGGGTGTGGTGGCACACGCCTGTAGTCCCAGCTACTCGGGAGGCTGAGGCAGAAGAATGGCGTGAACCCGGGAGGCGGAGGTTGCAGTGAGCCAAGACCATGCCACTGCACTCCAGCCTGGGTGACAGAGCGAGACTCCATCTCAAAAAAAAAAAAAAAAAAAAAAAAAATAATAATAATAATCCCATAGCTATTTTATATGTGTGTGCATGTTTATGTGTGTGTATATATGTATATGTACACATATGTATGTATATGTAAACATGCAAAATATTCCACAAAATAGAATGAGAGGGACATGAAGTTAATGCAGCTTTTATGAAGGAGGTGGTGACTCCTTCACCGAGATGGCTTATCATATAAGTTAGATTTTCTCAAGGTTTGCATCCCAATAAAAAAAAGGTACGATAGGTTTTAAGCTGTATAAGTGAATGTATAACTAGTATTTGATGTCATTTTACTAATTATCAACACAGCTGCTCTGGTCTGAAATTTTTAATGTCATGACAGAGCTAATTTTAATAAAAGGTAACATTTTATGACCCCAAATAAATTACACACCAATATATGCATCTGCTGCACTAAAGTACCATAATATTAACCTGTTAACAATTGAGCCAAAATCTTTCACACAATTCATCATAATTTATCTGGGTGACATATGACTTTCAGATGCTACATCTCTTTACTGAATGTTTTGAAAATTGAGCTAAGACAAAAACATCCGTTTATATGAAAGAAAGAAAAAACATACAGAAATATTGTAAGATTCTAAGAACATTTATTTAAAATGTTCACTTTATTAAGAACTAGGCATCAGGAATTGAAAGAAAAACCTAGATGGGAGGAATTTACTGAAATCTCCGTGTTAAAAAAGAGAGCATAGCACTTGTCTGGCTTTGGAAAATACTTTCACAGTAATCAAACAAAATAAAGACATTTGATAGCAAACACTTGGAAGTGGAAATAGGCTAAGTTCTTTAATTTTTTATGTAACCTTCTTTATGTTGGTGTATAGCAAAAATACATGGGTCCAAAATAGAGTGGCATTCATCTTAACATTTTCTGTGTGTGTGTGTGTGTGTGTGTGTGTGTGTGTGTGTGTGTGTGTGTGTGTGATATATGTATATATATATGTACGTAGATATGTGTGTGTATATATATATATATATATGTGTGTGTGTGTGTGTGTGTGTATAATTTTTTTTGAGATAGAGTCTTGATCTGTCACCCAGGTTGGCTCACTGCCACCTGGGTTCAAGTGATTCTCCTGGGTTCAAGAGATTCTCCTGTCAGCCTCCTGAGTAGCTGGGATTACAGGTGCACGCCACCACATCCTACTAATTTTTGTATTTTTAGTAGAGACGGTGCGGGGATTCATCACGTTAGCCAGGCTGGTGTTGAACTCCTGACTACAGGTGATCTACCCGCCTCAGCTTCCCAAAGTGCTGGGATGACAGGGGTGAGCCACCACACCCATCACATTTTCTGGCCATTTTTAATGTGTTAGTAAATGCTACGTATATTTACATTGCAAATATTATACCCTGTATCATGATAATTTGAAATGACTGAAGAAAAAAAAATGAAGTCCAATACTTTCACAGACACAGAGACCTAAATGAAAGAACAAAAGATGACAGCCCTAGAAACGGATTTGATGGTGACTACTGAAAATATACAAACACAATTTCCATTGCCCTCTAGAAAAGTAAAAACATAAGCATGATAGCTCTAAAAAAGACAAGTCTGAATGTACTTTAGTTCAAATTATTCTAGCACACATATTGTAGTATTGTTACTAAAGAATACTATAACAAAATTACTATTATGAAAAGTGGGCAATAATGATGATAATGGTAGCCATCTTGAATGTCAGCTCAATATGCCAAGAATTACACTAAACTCTTTATATATTTTCTGCATTACGGACAATGACTCTGTGAATAGGGTATTATTGTTTCATTATTTTTTATGAATTTAAATTACCTGAGATTTATGAATATTAAGCATTAACCCAAGTCACACAGAGAATTGGTGTGAAACCCTGACTTTGTTTAAATTTTAAAGCTCAGAATCTTGCAGGGCTGTAATAATCATGGTTTGCAATACTCTTGAAGATTCAATAAAAGGGATTTATAAAGGACATATACAGACTATCAGGACACTCTTGGCAAAACATAAAAGTAGGCCAAAAAAATTACTGTAGTCTTTGTTTTTGAATCTCAGAGTAAAGCATAGTAAGCTATCAAACTGACGATAAGTGTGAAATCATGAATTGGAATAAATGTGGTGTAAATGAGATATCATTATCTGACGAAGTCCACACCATAGAAATTAATAAACCATCTCCGTGCAAATAATTAATGCTGTTTAACCACCCAAAGGGTAAATAGAATGTGAATCGAATGTCTCAAGTTGGTTTTATTTATAAGCAGTAAACAAAGTTAAAGAATGTTGCTAAGTATAGGATAGGCAACAATTAAAAAGCAAGGAAAATGCTTTTCTGAGATCTGCTACACATTTGTAGATCTGAGTTTCTTAAAAAGGATTTTATCGCTTGCCAAACGTTGTAGAAAATTAATGAATAAAAACTAAATTTAAAACAACTAAAAAGTATCAGGAGACTGACAGCTGCACCTGCGAGTAATTTAGGCCTGAGTACAAATACACAAAAGTTAGGAATTAAATCCAAATGACATTTTGAAATTTACTCTTAAACCAAAACAAACAAACAAAACACATTACCACATTACAGGATACATAGGAGTGATATTTTTGAAGTTTTTTTAAATACAAAAATGTATTTTCCAATACTTTATATCAACGTATGTGAGGGGAATAAGAGGTACATTGGCAAAGGTAAATTGCACTGTCTCGTAGCCCTGCACCTTTGTAACATTTCAGGAAAGTCAGTGGGGATACCCAGTAACGATGACTCCTTTTCTGTACAAAGTTGCATCAGGTAGAAGAAGGCAAACCCAGTTTAAAGAACTGGGTTGCCTGTAAGACCATGTATCTTTACATTTTCACTATTTATCTCAGAGGATGAGCCATTCTCATAAGGTAAATACGGGACTTTTCCAAACCACTTTTATGAGTGGGTCAAAGGTTAACCACAAAATTTAGGTCAGAGGGGGGCATTATAGTGATGTCTCTGAGAATGGATGATAAATATTGTTTCATGGCAACTTCAGATTTATTTACCACAACTCCTCATCATTTCTAGGTGCACAAATAATGCAACAATTCTATGACCCCTGGAGCCTCAAATGTGTTGAATTATTTTATATAATAGCTAGGCACTGATAGTATAGTTTTGTAGTTTTAAAGTATTATCTGGAGTTATTTTATTTGGGGTATTATCTTTATAAAATGCAATGTATCTTTTCCATTTTCCTTTATCTTCAGTATTATATTTTGCAATTTCATATTGTGACTTCTATATAATAAGGAATAATTAGTGCACATTAGTGAAACTCATCTTTATTTGTGAGAATTTCCATTTAAGCTTGGATCAAACATGCTGGCACATGACTGCCTTTGATTTTACCTGTAAAACAATAGATTTTTGTAGTCCAGTGAGCAATAAATGCTTCCTGCCTCTCCTCTATATTTACCAGTAGATAATAATGAAATGTCACAGACTTGAACATTATTAAACTTATATTTGAGATGCCTTTCAGAATTTTTCACGTTTCCTGCTGCTGTCTGCCTTTTCTCCTCTTTGTTGTGTCTCATAAATTTTTATGACCTCTTTGCGTTGGAAATCTGTAATTTTTCCCAGAGCTCTGCTAGGTACCTTCTAGCAGTAATAAAACTCTTGTCACTTTCCATTGCAGCTACTTTCAGAGTGAGGCTTACTGGCTTCACTCTGCAGCATATTAGATAAAATAATCAATATGCTCAGGTTGAAAAATTAAATGCAGCATTTGTGTATCCATCGAATTACAGTGCTTTGAGCTTGGAACAGATGGCCTTGCGAGACATTTGCTAGCTTACTTGAGAGTGGCTATTTTTTTTTCTTCTTTTTGTTTGTACTTGATTTTGCATTTACAATAATAATAATAAAAGAATTGCCCAAGATGATTGGTATAAAATTCATTTGGCTATTCTTGAAAAACAAAGCATTGTAAGTACCAAAAATAATAGTAGCATTAAAAAAAAAAAACAAAAAACTTTCTGTTGAATGCAGTTACTTTCTGAGTAAATTTACAGTATTCTCTTCCCTTACATTTGTGAACTTTATGTGTGCTTGTCCCTACTTACCTCACCTCTGTTTCTTACCCAATGTGAACTTATGTGTGGATGTAATATTTCTATTATAAAACTATTAAATAATAGGGAATACAAAATTTTTCAATATTGTGGAGTTATGCCTATATTTCTTTTTACCCAAAATAAATTAATGTTAAAATTAATCTCCATCTCTTCTCCCATATTTCTCTTTCAATCTAGTCATGATACTGTGTTCTTTACATAGGCAATTTGGAGAGGATGGTTAGGTGTTTAAGAAAATGACTGACCCATTGTTTCCACATAGATCTCAGGTCACTGATTATTCTGTGAAATTTGGACAACCTCAAAGACTACAGAGCATTGAATTAACTTACTTGTTCAACACTATTTGTTAAGTATCTATTATGAGTCAGGTAGACATTTGTTGGAGGGTCCTAGATATAAAGCAGTTTATAAGACTTGTGATCTTAAGAGTGTGGCTATAATTTAAATATGATATAAGTCACATTTATGTTTTCTTGTATCCTTGTTCCCAGGATTGTTTCAGTAAAGATCTTTAAATTATAAACATTACTGAATAGAACTGATTTGTTTTTCCAGTCAGCATATCATTTCAGGGGCCAGTAGAAGCAAACCCCTGTTCTGTTCCTCATCTTTTATCCAGTGTCTGAGGATACAATGAGATTGTCTTTGAAGGTTGCAGGTGTTTGAAGATATGTCCTTTGCAGTTTGAAGGACATGGAAACCAATCCAGAATTGCATTTAAATAAGGAAATTAGAATAGATGCAGAAATGGAGGAAGGAAAAAAGCAAACTGAAACATAGCAATGAGGCCCAAAAGATGTAGGGCTACATAAATAGATTTAAAACCTTATATTCCAATTTGTTTGTTTTATAAACTCAGTGATCTTAATATTAGACAACAAATCCTTAGAATCATGTAACATGTTTCGCACTTTAAGTTATTGTTTTTGTTTGTTTGTTTGTTTGTTTGTTTTGAGACGGAGTTTTGCTCTTGTTACCCAGGCTGGAGTGCAACGGCGGGATCTTGGCTCACTGCAACCTCTGCCTCCTGGGTTCAGGTGATTCTCCTACCTCAGCCTCCCAAGTAGGGGAATTTTTTTGTATTTTTAGTAGTGATGGGATTTCACCATGTTGGCCAGGCTGCTCTTGAACTGCTGGTCTCAAGTGATCTGCCTGCCTCGGCCTCCCAAAGTGCTGAGATTACAGGCATGAGCCACCATGCCCACCCTATCATTGTTCTTAATTCTTATATTTTACAAGAAAAGCTGGCTCTCAATTGATGTTCAACACATGCAACATATAGAACTGGGACCCCAAATTGATCAATAACTCAAGTTGATGAAAGGCCATGTTTTAAAGGCAAACACCACACAGTCTTTCACATTGGTGCCAACGAAGGCATTTTGGTATATTCCCTGGATGCAACCAAATCCTGTGGTGAGAACCTGGTGAATGAGAACCTATGCTACAGTGTATGTTGGAGCCAGCTCACACAGGCATATTTCCCAACTCTGTTTGGTGACTTCACATCGATAGCCAGCCACAGTGGGAGTATTTACACTACAGAAATCAATAAATTCTGCAAACATGTATTTTTTTTTTCTAAGAAAGCTGGTTGTTAAACAGCCAACACACAACTGTCCTTGGAGGAATAAAAGGTTTGCCTTTGCCTTTCTCACAAGTTCTATTTCAGAATTGCAGCCAAAGCATATCATCTCAGCCCTTAGCTCTAGAGACCTCCCTCCTCTAGTGGGCAGAGACATTTCTTCCTTCTCAGTGTATACAAATTTTATGCTTATCAGTAGAGGTGAGATTATTGGCTCACTTTTCCTCACAAGTGGATACATCTCTCTTCTTTATTCTCTCTCTCCCTCCTCTAATTCTCTCCTTTCATATGTGTCATTAAAAATGTGTTTGTGCATTTGAGTGGCATTGTGGGAAGATGGAGTGAGGAGGGAGAAAACTCAAATTATATTGCACATTGGCCACTGGCACACACTGTGTTAGATGCTTTATATATTCTCTTTTTAATTATTTTTACTATTTGAAACCCAAAAGGATCATACCATTGTGAGAAGAGCTAGTTTTCTAGAAAAAGAGATATGGAATTTTAATATATCTTGAAAAGCTAAAGAGGTGATTTTAACTGAAGTGAAGTAATAAGGTAGGGCCTTGTATAAGTAAGAGTTTCACAATACCAAAATTTATATTGTAATAATAACATTGTAATAGTAAAAATGTAATAGTATTAATGTATTCAGTTTTTTATTCTCTGAACTATATATGGCATTACTTTGATATCATTTCATGTCATCTGGAAATGACTACTATTGCTACAGTATGCCAAAATATCTGGGCACAATAAACAATTATAGCATTTTCTCTATCTTTTAGACTTCTCAGATAATGCTACAATATGTTAAAGTATCTGGGCTTGATTAAAAATGCAAGCATTTCTCCTATCTTTTTGATTTCTTGGTTTTGGAAGACTTGATATTCTACTGATCATTGCTATTCCATACTGTAATGACACCTGTCATGATTTTAAACAGTTTTTTTTTTTCTATTCTAAACATGGTAACATAGAGTTATGTCATTAAAACATTAATCTTGGCCAGGCACAGTGGCTCATGCCTGTAATCCCAGCACTTTGGGAGGCTGAAGTGGGTGGATCACCTGAGGTCAGGAGTTTGAAATCAGCCTGGCCAATGTGGTGAAACCCTGTCTCTACTAGAAATACAAAAATTAGCCAGGCATGGTAGCAGGAGCCTATAATCCCAGCAACTTGGGAGGCTGAGGCAGGGGAATGGCTTGAACCTGGGAAGCAGAGGTTGCAGTGAGCCAAGATTATGCCACTGCACTACAGCCTCGTTGACAGAACAAGACTCTCTCTCTTTCTAAAAAAAAAAATAAAAAAAATAAAAAATAATAATCTTATTTCGATGTTTGCTACTAAAAGGTTTTTAATTATTTATTTTTATCATATCATATTATACATATGTTTGCCCAAGCACTCACGTGTGTGTATATGCATGTATGTTTCTTTAACTCATGGCTGAAACAGTAACACAGAAGACATAAACCTCAAATCTGTGTCTGGGTCTGTAACATGGGGAAACAGGTCAACCTTAACACTACAGTGTACATTTGCATTGCATTGTACATTACTGATGTCTTCAGGAGATTGATGTGCTGAAAATCCTCATTCTACATGTTGGAGATGGGGAATGAGAAGTCAGGAGCCGGAAAATTCTAAACTCTTTTAGATCACTCAGATTCCATCTAGTAAATTACCTTTCTCTGAGATATTTTCAAGGTCTGAAATGATAGTGTACTTACAAGAGGTCATTATGACTTCTGGCACCCGTTGGAGCAGGCCTAATGTCTTGTAGCAAATATAAGAGTCTAAATGCATTGCTATAAGTGTCAGGCTGGCAGCAAATGCATTATGCTTCTCCAGTTGACCCTTTCTGCTCCTGTCTCTCACACTCTTACCAGATAGACAGTTAGCAAGCAGCCTGTCCTATCCAGAGGATTATCTCATAACAAATATGGCTATTTAAAAGTGAACCATGTTGCTAAAACTCTGAAAGCCTTGAAAGAGGTTTATCCATCATACGTTAGGTACCAACTGCTGTCTTGATGATTATCAAAAAGCATCATCATGTTTGACATCTTATATCTTTAAAATAATATTTCTATATTCACTTCAGGTGTTTTGCCTATTAATAATTGAGATGTAGTAGGTGATACAGTAGGAGTTATGTGGCAACATTTAGGCTTAACACTACCACAACAAAATCATTATGTGTCAAGGCTGTGAAAGAGCTAGTGTGTTAGGAAGCATTATCCTTGAGTGAAAGGAGTTCATGTCTACTCATAATGTGTGAGCTGAAAGTTTGATATAGTCAGAAGAGTAAGATACAGGAACCCAAGGAACCTGAGCTCTGATCCTAAGACTCTCTCTAAGTCTGTGTAACCCTATGTGATAAAATAACTTGGAGTGGGAGAGGGTTCCTCATAAGATCAGAGACCCTAGTGCAGCAGTCCTTGGAGATATAAATTATTAACTCATGAAAAGCAAGGAGACACACATTATTTTGTTTTGATAGTGTTAGAAAGAAACAGTTTCTTGGAAGAAATTGTTATAGCACATCCTTAACCTCAGGTAGCTGAGGGAAGTTGAAGAGGATATGGATTGTGTCTCTGCTGACTGAAATGAAGGCAGTGGTCTGGCCTCACAGCAGTGAAGGCCTAATGGTTTTAGGAAACACTGAGAAAATAATTTTATCGCTCTGATTCTCAGTTTCTTCTTTTATAAAATAATGGTTTTCAAGTAATCCTATAGGCTTCAGAGTTTGAAGTCCTGCATTGAAATTTTAGCTTTGTCACTTACTAGTTGTGTGATACCAGCACAGCAGTTAAGACCCTTCATGTTGAAAAATATCAGAAAATCTAACTCTTAGTGGCTCATGGAAAAAATTAAAAGAACAGCAAAACATAATGAAATGTATTTATTACTCACATATCGTGAATTCCAGGAAAATTTGTCAAATCACATATCAGACATATCTTATGGAGTCCTTCTTGGTGGCTCCTAAAAGCTATGGCTTTATTTTCCCTTAAGTTCAAATACTTTGGAATAATTAGACTAACTTGATTCATATACTCCCCTGAACCAATCCTATGGTTATGTAGACATTTGGGTTGACAGTTCATACTCTACTCTAAAAACTCCAGAACTTGCTCCCTTGAAATTAATGAAACTAGGCAAACATTGAAATCATTTCTTAATTTCTCATAATCAATTATTTGGAATATACATTACATTGAAATCATTTCATTATTAAAATAACTATCTTTCCTTGGTTACCTTTTATTGGCTTACAGTATTATTTATTTATGTATTTTGAACTATTTTCACTGATCTTAATCAAAGAAAATTATATTCTCTACATCATAATGAAATAGAAGTTCTGAACATGTTCTTTCTGTGTTTTCCTGGATTTTCAAATTAAAGTATGAGTTGCTTCGAAATTTAATTGAGGCTATTGGGACTACAGAGTTCTTGCCTTTAAGAAAGTTAAGTTTCCAAATGTGTGTGGTTTCAGTTAATTGCAGTGTAGTACCACATGCATGAGATTTTATATTCAGAAGGGAGGAAATTGATTTTCTTTGGCATGTTTATAGCAAATATATTCAGTATTATTGTTCAAACAAGCTGAAATTATTTACAGAATGTTATATGTGTATGTGTTTTCTGGGAAGAGGGTCCATAGCTCTTGTCAGATTTTTTTTTTTCAAGAGGGTCCATGACTATAGAATCATTAAGAATTAATGTATGGGATAATTTCTTTTTCTTCTAAAACCCAATAAGCTCACTTTTTAAAAATTTGATGGCGTTTTATTTATGTTAAAGAGGATCATTTAAAAAAATATTATTTAACTAATATTCACATTAATTGCAATCATTTCATGGTAAAGCTATGCTTAGATTTAAAATTTCCCTTCTAGAATTTATTTTTTTGGACTCAGAGACTGCTATGGTGATCAATAATGATTTGTAGAAAATTATGATATAGCTTGAGGTCTTTTATTTTAAAATGTTCTTTGTGACAATATTCTTGGCTGGTCCTTATTGTATTGGTGTCTCAAACTGTTGCTCAAAATTTAAGTGTGTTTTTAATGTACTATTTTTTTCCATAGGAAATGAAAGCTCATTGTATAAAACTTTTAATACATAGAAAGGTAGGAAAATAGAAAATCATCCTTAATTCTTAGCCTAGCCACTGTCAAAATTTGCATGCGTTATTCTTGTGTACTTTTCTATGCAGTGCAAACATGTATGACATTTGTAATTGCACCATGTATAGAACTTTGTCTTCATTTATTAATTAATTTATCAAACATTTGTCAGAGGCTTACAAAGTAAAGTAACCAATTTTCCCAGTTTGCCTGGAACTTTCCTGCTTTTAACAGATTTTTAACAGGATACTCACCTTCTGGGAAACCTGTTAGTCCTTGGCAAACTGGGATAGTTGGTCACCCTCTGATAAAGATAAAGATGAATAAAAACAGACTATAGACTATCAAGGTTAGTGTGGGAGTAATATATATTCTAAAGTTGCTATATCTTATATTTTTTACTTATTAGTATTTTTCAGGTTACTGCATAATTTTATTAGTCCTTTTATAAAAGTAAACTTCAACAGGTTGAATGCAAAATGAGTTATAAATCTATTCCTTTAGCATAGATTTTTTGAATCATTTCCTAGTTTTGCTATCATAAACAACAAAGAAATAAAATCTCTGATCACAGCTTCTTTTGACCGTTATATATTTTTTTCAAGACAGCCATAAGATATATAATTGCTGGGATTAAGAGCATAAATTTGTTAGATTGCTGATACATGCTGTCGAATTGCTCTCCAAAAAGATTTTACTAGTTTATATTTTCATTAGAGATATATTTAAAATATGACAGGATTTTATTATTCTCAGCTAGATACGAACTTTATTCATCAGGAACAGTTTGTCCTATATTGGTCAAATAATATTCTCCCAGGTATTCTGAAAGAGAATTCTAAAGAATAATAAAAAGGAAACTTGTTTGCATTTTTATATGAGAATTTCAGTTAAATGTAACAATCTCATTGGAGAAAAATAAAAATATTTTGTATCCTCAGGGCTTTAAGAAAGGTGCTTCCATTGGCCGAGATGCTTAATGTATAGTCTTTTGTGAAAAATTCTCGTACTTAGAAGAGTTAATAACTCAGTAACTATTTAATTTACTAACTTGGGAAATAATATATGTATTAGTGAGAATAGTAACAGTGTTTTGTTTGTTTGTTTGTTTTGTCATCAAAGACACTATTAGCCAGGGTCTTTACATAATTCTTAACATAATAATTATATTTAAAATAATCTGACATCAGATTTTCAAAATAAATTTAAGACATGCTGAGAATTATTGAATACCATGATTGGAGCTATTAGATGAAGTTTCTGATATACCTTTTTTGTTGTTGCTGCCCTCTTGCCCTTTCTGGCAGAACTTTTATTTTACTAGAAGAAAAATCTATAGCTTATTAAAAATAATCTAACCCCAATATGATCAAATAAAGGTATCATCCTTTGATTCAAAGAAGCATAGTAACTTATAAAAAATTAAAATGTTATTTTGTTAATAGTGCTCTAGCACAGCAGAATAACCTTGTAACTATTTTATATATTAAAAACTAATAATTTGATTTAATAGCAATTTACCTATAATATTTTTCTATATATGTTTCATACTTTGTTAAACCATAATAAGTATGTCAAGTAGTTTTTATTTTTTATCAATTAAATATTCCATTAAGGGTACACATGGACATAAAGATGGAAATAATAGACACTGGGGACTCTAAAATTGGGGAGGGTGGGTGGGAGAAGGGGGTTGAAAAACTATCTATTGGATGCTAAGTTCACTATTTGGGTGAAGTCCAAACCTCAGTAATACACAATACACCCATGTAACAAACCATGTAACTAAATATACCCTGTGAATCTAAAATAAAATAAAATAATTTTGAGAGAAGCAAAAAAGTAATAAGTAGATAAATAAAATAAATAGCAGTATTTCATTAAATTAGAAAATACAAGAGTAAAATGATTTTGCTAGTAATTAAACATCTAGCTCCTGATGAAAACATATTTATTTGGCTTAATAATGTTATGTCAGCAAATACATGTTTAATATTACACAATGATTACAATTTTTCCTCCCTATATTCAGCATACACTTTAATTTCAAATTAATATTTACATATCATGAAACTATAATTTATTTAAAAAATAAAAATGTTATGTGTAAACACACAAGTATATAAGCTGTCTTTTTTGTTTTATGAAATACAATCACAGTAAACTTCATTTCAACACACGCCCTCCAATTTCATTAGTGATGATTATATAAGCTTATGATAGAACAAGGAGAGAGGAACCAAGTGTCACAGTTAGGCTACGGAATTTTGGTTGGATTAATATGTAAATGAATAATATGAATTATTATAGGAGTCAAAGCTATTGTACTATCTGCTAGAACTTGCTACTTATAGGAATAAATAAGATATCAAATACTTTGCATAATAGTGAGTGTTTTACTTGTTAAATCTGCATAAAAGCAAAATTAAAATTTTCCTGTATTTAGCTGGTACTGTGAAAACTATACAAAGTATTTAGAGATATTTATAGTATTTGTATTGAAACATTTAATATCCAAATGAATGATGGTCATGGGTTAAAGGAAAGAGAGGGAAGCAAATGTTTACAGAGAATCTGCCATTATCAGCTGTGTGCTGGGTCAGTAAATTCATTCAACATTTCAATGAACTATTACTAGTCTCAATGCATTAACAAGAAAACTAAAATTCACAGGAGCTAAGCAAAATTTTCAATTTTCCATGCTAGTGAATGGCATGTCTGTCTCATGAGTTCATATTTTATTTTGTATATCACAAAATTATAAAGGATAGACACCAGGGTAATTATTTTAGGCCAATTCTACATTTTTCAATTTTTTTTCAAGCAGTGATCAAACAAAAAATTTTACACACTTTTTTGTGCAGGTATCTAAGTAATTCTGTAAGCTAGTTTCTAAGAAATAAAATTTTTAGAACAAGGTGAATGTTTTAACTTTTCATATACGTGGTACAGCTACATTGTTTTTCCCATGGTCTTACCAATGTACATTCACATAGTATGGAAGAGTGACTATTTTCCTCAATCTTACAAATAATAAATAAAAATTATGATAATTTTATCCTTTTTTTCTGCTATATGTGAAAAATGACACCTCATAATTTAACATTTTATGGAAAAAATTAATTTTAGTATACAAAACAAATCCAATATTCGATTTTTATTATAGCTGGCCAAATTAAAATTAACCATGATGTTCTACTGTAATACAAAATATACTTGCTAGGCCAAATTAATAATGTAGAGACAAAGACCTTGTTTACCGTAGCCAAAAAAAACATAGTTGATGGGCCGATGACTTCATTCTGGTCATGTTTTCCATCTTTGTTTTAAGTATTGTTGACACTAAATATTTACAGGTCTAAACCTTCTCGGTGTCATACATTCCTGGAAATTAGAAAATAATTTATCCCATCTGCAAAGAGTAAATTTGGTCAAAAGAGAAAATATCAAATTAAGTAGATGAAAAATGATTTTCTGCTTTGTTTTCTATTTTTCCCCCCGGTACTTGAAAGTAGTCAAATAAAAAATAGATTCAGAGTTGATTTGTTCATATAAACAGAGCCAATATAAAATTATGATGATTAGACTATTTCCTATGATGGCTGTAACAAATTACCACAGGCTCTGTGGCATAAAACAGTGCTTTATTTTCTTACATTTCTGGAGATCAGAATTCCAACATTTATGTCAACAGGGCTGGCTTCTTTTGGAGGCTGTAGGGGAGAATCCATTTCTTCATCTTTTCTAACTTCTAGAGGTCACCTGCCTTCCTTGTTTGCTGACACCTTTCACACACGACTACATCCTTTTCCTTCCATCTTCACGTCTCCTAATTGTTTTTATGTTGTCAGATCTCTCTCTGCCTCTCTCTTATTAGAACACTTGTGATTACATTTTGGATCCACCTGGATAATCAAAGACAATCTCCACATCCCAAGAATCTTAATCACATTGGCAGTGTCTTTTGCTATATAAAATAACATCCATAGGTCCAAGATGTTAGCATTTAAATATCTTTGTGGTTATTCAGCCTACCAAAATGATACAAACTGCCAGTCTATAGAATTATTTATTTAATCTTTTTATTCAGTAAAGTTATTCTCAAAGGGCAGATTTTACAGGGCAATTTTTTGAAAAATAAAACTTGTAAAAGGTTTAATTGATTAATTACTGTTTACAGCCATGAATTCAGACATGCATAGTCATTTAAACATTTTGATTTCTTTAACATATTTTACAACTGGAAACCTGTCTAACACAAATGGTCCTACTGCTTTATATCTTTTTCTGCCTACATCTATCTAAATTGAGAAATATATGGCATGAATAAGTATATTCAGTTTCCATGGCTATGGCTAAACAATTACTGGAAGCATTTTATATGGGAATAATTTACATACATTTGTGATATTACTTTTCTTATCTCTCCTCACTATTTTGAGCAATCTTTGACTTGCTCTTCAATCCTAGTTTATGGAAAAATTAGTCTGGCCATGTTAATAGCGGTGCTGGTGTCAGGGTACCTTGAAGAAATGTTTGTTTAGGAGTTAGAGATAAACAGCTGTGTCTTTATAGAATGCTTATGCTAATGTGCATCAGAAATCTCCAGGAATATGACTTAGTATGTGGTGTTTCTAAAACTCTATTTAATCAGAGACACTTTTGTACTTGGAGTTTCAACATCTTCAGCAACTAGTGGGCCAAGGAAATACTGAACATTAAACATCCACAGGACTTTACAATTGTGAAATTTGAAAGTTTCTGAAAACTAAAAGTGTGTTGACTTTTTAAAAATAAAAGCCAAACCAAAATGTAAGGCTTGTGTGTGGGTGGATTTGTGTGTATTTACAATACTTAGTGTGACTATTGATATCTTTGCTAAGGAAACATAAGAAAATATGCTTGATTATGGGATGCTGCCCCAAGACTTTCCTGGTAGTGTTATATAAAATGTGGTATATGCAAAATATTGCCAGGATTTCAAATATTAGACATATCACATTTTAGGAGAGGCTGATAAAAGATTATGAACCTGTATTACAAGAAGCACCTGTATTCTTTCCACAGTGACCAAAAAAAGTCTTTTTTTTTTCACCTTTAGATTTGATCATGGTCTAATGACCATTATCTCAAGTGGGTCCACAACCCTAATCAACAACGTGCCTATAGTTTCTTAGAGTTCTTCATTTTATTTGGAAAATAGAAGCAACTGGTAGAGTCCTGCCTCCTTTTCCCATCACCAGCACCATCAGCCTAGCTATATCTGTGCCTATGCACTTTATTTACCACCTATGGCAAAGCCTAAACTATCTTCATGTACTTAAAGCCTTGCTGCCATTTGTACACTGTTCCTGCAATTATCCCCCTACAAGTGTGTGTGCACACACTTATGAATCCCGAGTTTCTCCTTTTCTACAGCATCCTTCCCAATAGCAGGCAAAAGTGTTGTTCTACCTCTTATTTTATATCACGACACTCTTATATCAATGAAGACCATGTACTCTTCTAATGAGTGTCACATCTTCCACTCCCCCTCAGAGCAGAACTCCTAAATGAGCTGTCCTGACTCATATTCTCTACTCCTTCACTTGTGTTTCTCTCTTCAGCCAACTCTAGTCCACTGAAATTGTACTTATCAAGGTTGCTAATAATCTCCATTGTGACAAATTCAATGGCCAGTTCTCTGTCCTTATATTATATTAGAATTTGGCCCAAGCAATTCATTAGTCAATCATGAAAGTATTTTTTTCACTTTGCTTCCCATTTTAGTTTCAGTTTTTGGTTTTGTTTCTTTGTCTTTGTTTTTTCTGTCTACCTCAAGGCCTATCTCTTGCATCTCTTTCTTACTTCTACATGATCTAGGGACCTAGCCTTTAGGGCACTCACTGCTTATGTGATTCCATCTGTTCCAGTGATTTGTAAATTTACCAGTGTTTCTACTGTGCTCCAGATTCACTCATTCAACACCCATCTCATGGGGATGTCTAACAAGAATAGACAGAATAGACAGTTTCAAAATAGGAACTGTTGACTTTCCTTTATAAACCTGTTCCTCTCTTAATTTTTTAAATTTTTTATCTCAATAGATAACATGGTCATTCATCAAAATGTTCAGTCCACAAATTTAGGAGTTATTCTTGAATGATAATTTATCATATATTCTCACTAACTCACTCAATAAGTGCTGCTGGTGCTGCCTACAGACTTTATACCAAATTCTCTGACTTTCCACTGTGAATCCTGCTACTGTCCTAGTCCACATCTTTGTAGTATGTCACTTAGAGTACTGCAATAACCTCCTGCTTCCCCGTTTCCCAGCTTTCATTCTTTCAGCAGCAGCAAGCATGATCTTTTCAAAATGGATACTTTCCTCGGAACTCTCAAATAACTTATCACTTTCAAATAGAAACTTATACTCAAAATAATTGAAAACAGGTATGCAAATAAATACTTTTACATGAATGTTCATAGTAGCACTATTCAAAATGACCAATAAATAAAAAGAACCCCAAGTCTTTCAACTGATTAATCATTAAAAAGTCATAGTATATACATGCAATGGAATAGTATTTGACCATTAAAAGGAATGATACACTGATACCTGCTACAATGTGGATGAACATCGAAAACTAAGTGAAAGAAGTCAGCCACAAAAGGTTGCACGTTGTACGTTTCTTTTTATATGAAATATCCAGAATGGTTAAATCCATAGATACAGAAAACAAGCCTCCTACCTAGCTTATAAATTTCATTATCTACCACTCTCCATTTACATCTCCCATTTTAACCACGCTGGTCTCTTTGCTTATTTTTAGTCTCAGCATATTCTAACTTAGTTTATTTATGATTGCTTTTCTATTTGCTTGGATTTCTCCTAAATCAAATCCTAGAGTGGCCTATTCTAGCATTTCTTTAAAGTAGCGTCTTAAAATATCACCTCTCACAAACACCTTCCCTTCCACTCTATCCAAGTCTACACAGACATCTCTAAAAACCATGTAGATTATAAGCAGCATAACTACCCACAAAAACATTTTTAGCATAACTAAAATACATTCAATACAACAAATTTAAAATTACCTCAGCAAAGTATATAAATGACACCTGTAACAATAGTTCTGGCTCTGGAGCCCACACTGAATTAGAAAGACAGACAGAGACTGTGCATCAGGAGGAGAGGGGGAGACCTAGCAGCGGCTGAGAGTGGATAAAATCAGACCCACAAATGAGAATCCCATAGTGATACTGAGAATAGGTCTAAGGAAATATTGAGCACAGATATAAGAACAGATGAAATAGAAAAGAAGGTGTTTGAAATTATGTGAGACTAAATATAACAGTCTTGGGAAGATATGGTTTCTGGGGCAAATTAGAAGTGTATGGAAAATTCTTTGGTGGCTCTGTGGCTAAAGGAAAAATAAAAGAATGAAAAGGTTAAAATTAAAGGCCCTACTGAAAAAAAAAAGAGAGTCACTATATCAGAAAACCGTATAATATCAAAATATAAAAACACCCCCAATTAAATAAGTTTTTTTTTCATTAACTACACAAGACAATGTTCATGAAGAAGAAATCTATAAAGGCAATAAAATTTTCTCTGACCTTCCACCGGTGGTTGCTTGTTTAGGAAAACCTTAGTACCTCAAAATGAACAGAAAATCATTGGCAATACCTATACAAATTTATAGAAAGAAAAAAAAACAGACAGCAAAAATTTTCAACTGATGAAATTTCTCTTCCTTCCAAAAGTAAGTAAAAAAACAGCAACCAAGAAACAACAACAACAAAAATAAACAAAAAACCCTGTCTTAAATATATTTTTAAAGAATTACCTGGAAATATTAAAAAATTATATTTCTAATCAGTGAAACAAAAAATAGCAATGGAGAAAGCATACAAAGATGTGAAATGAAATCTAAAAAGGTCAGAAAAGAGAAGAAAAAGAAAAACAAACTCAGCAGCAAAGCATCAGCCATTAGGTAGCTACAGAAGAATAGATTCTAATGAGTATTTTATAAATGGCATATAAGTGCCACTGGGGAAGGAAATGAAGAAAATTCAAACAACACAACAGAAAAAATTATAAAGGTTATAACTGAAGAAAGTTTTTTAGAAATAAGGATCTTCAGCCACATGTTGAAAAGTCACATTTTGGTAATTCTTAAATATGTTCTAGAAAAATTTTTAGTTCTTAAGGATATTTTAAAAAAAAACCTCTGGACTTTCAGGCAAACAGATCAAATTACTTACAAAGGAAAAAAGAAAATTAGGTTGTCGTGAGAAATCTTCACAGCAATAGTCAAAATAAAGCAGCAGTAAAGCCTTTTTTAAAAAATGCAAGGAAAGACTATATGAGCTAAGGTACCTTTCTGGCATCAAGATTATAAAGACATAGTTTTAAACTTAAAATTATTTTGTGAATACTATACTCACAAGAGAATGAGTATATCTAACTTAGGGATTATTAAATAAACTTGACAAAGGAAGATAGTGAACACTGAATATATTTAATCGTAGATCCCAGGCTAAAACAAAGGTGTTAAAAGGGGTAGAATGATAAATATGTTCTGACAAATTAGAATTTTGCAGTTCAAACTAATGGATAAAGAAAATAAAATGACCAGGCACAGTGGCTCATGCCTGTAATCCCAGCACTTTGGGAGGCTGGGCCCAGTGGATCACTTGAGGTCAGGAGTTGGAGACCATCCTGGCCAACATGGTGAAACCCCATCTCTACTAAAAATACAAAAATTAGCTGGCCATCATGGTGGGCACCTATAATCCCAGCTACTCAGGAGACTGAGGCAGGAGAACTGCCCAGGAAGTGGAGGTTGCAGTGAGCCAAGATCGTGCCATTACACTTCAGCCTGGGCAACAGGGTGAGACTGTCACAAAAAAAAAAAAAAAAAAAAATCCTTGATTTTCATGTAGGTAATAGATGGCAGTCAATTTAAAGCTCAATTAGTAGCCTAAATAACGGAAACAATGGACTAAATGGACTAAGAGCTTTGTAAAATCTTAACTTTCTCTCAAAGAGCTGATGGTACTCTCTGCAAAATTCTTCTAAAGTGGCGTAAAAAATGAGGGTGACTAAATTCTTGGGAGGATTTCTATATTAAAATATTGAAAATTTTACCATAAATTTAGGAATCTGTTGAAATTCTGAGCAAGAAAACCTATACTGTATGTGCAAGAACTCTGCTGAAACAGTATGGTAGAGTTGTAAAATGTATAGAAACTTGTATATGCCTTTGCAAATGAAGTAACAGCCTTTGAAGTCTCCTTAGTTCAAATCCCAATCTATATAGTTGAATTTTCTTTCTTTCTGACTTTCTCTTCCTTTCCTTTTCTTTTTCTTTTCAAAATGAATGTGTTTTTTAAACTGTTCCTGCAAGTTGTGTCTGTTTGTAAATATGTGGGGTTTTCTTCAGTTTTTTTGTTGTTGCTTGCGTGTTTTGATGGAAGTGGTGTTTGTGTGTTTTGATGGTAGTAGACATGGCAGTATTGCTGGAGATAGTTGATGTAAATCATCTACTTCCAAATGCATTTTACAATGTGGTATATATCAATTTTTGCTTTTGTGATCTTTTGCATCGGCCATAGATAGCTGTTTTTCATTTTTTTTGCTTAATGAAGTAAAAAGCAATATAAATAAAATTTCTCCTTCCAAATGAATCTCATTCAGCTGCGTTCAACTATGAAAGAGCTCTCAAAAAAGACTACTCATTAATTTTCATTTCAAAAATATTTTGTAAAGTGGTTCATAGGCCTTTGTTAATGGCTTGCCTAATGTCCTTGGATCACCATATGTTCTCTTCACAAAGTATAGGCCCATAGAGAAATAAATTTCCCTCTTAGTTTTTTAGGTTAGATTGTTGGAAAAATATCAATAATTCAAATCAGATGATTGTATTTCTAATCAAAATTTTTTGGGATTTTTGATGGCATGAAAACAAAGAAATGTTTTTAACTTTTTTACTGCATTGGCAATATATGAATAAAAGAATGGAGATGAGGAAATGAAGGAATCTACTGAATTAACTGCATGATCCTCTCTATACTTTCCCTACTGCAAGAGAAAACAATATACACATGGCCTTCTAATCACTTGGTTGGTTCCCCTTGAAAGCAGCCCTCAGTAGTTTCTTACTACACTGCTATCACTCTGAACATAAGCTGGAGACAAAGGGCTGCTTTGTACGGAGTGAAAAATAATCAGGGTCTGGTGAGAGGATAGATAGAAGGATGCTCAACACCAACCTCACCATCAGGAGGAGACCACAGTCATTCCTTTTGTAATAAAACATACAAAGCCAGAACCTGAATGGAACGCAAGGACTCTCTTTGGAGAAAAATCTTCCTTATTCTCTTTAATGTATGACATTTTCATAATCTTCTTGATTTTCATTTTTCCTTGTGGGGCCAAAATCAGTAATTTGAATTAAATCTCCTATTTATTCTAACATATGTAGTTGAAGTCCATTTTATCCCCTCTCCCACAATATCTGAATTCAGGAATTTTTTATTGTTGTTTGTTTGTTTGTTTGTGGTCTTTTTGCCCTTAGCAGCTAGAAGTGGAGACCTTGGTTTCTCTGATTCTATTTCCAAGTATTTCTGGAAGATCAGCATTCTACTCTCTCTTCTAAGACAGTGTTGTCTTATATTAAAATTTATGATTTTGGTGAGATGCTTAAGCCTTTACCCCAATTCAAGGTGGTGCCCTGATTCTTCAAAGTCCTCCTGCCTTTACTAAGATAGATCTTCTCAAGTGCTTTACCTTTAGTTTTCCCTAGGGCTCCCTGCTCATTATTTTGGCCTCTTTCTGTCCATAAGTAATGTTAATTATGATAATACTGCTAAGATATTAGTAGGAAGTATCAAGGTCCTGTCAACTAACCTTTATTCTACAGTATTTGAAGCAGTCAGATGGAAAGGAGAAGAGTCAAGCCATTAAGTGCCACTTTTGATATGCGTAGTAGGAGGTTATTCACTTTGGTTTATTTGACAGTAACTTACTTAAAAAAATTTTTTTTATCATTTTAGATTTCTGTTACTGGCTACTAAAGAGTCGATGATAGATGATTATATGATACAGTTTCATTCCACCATCTTTACCTACATTTTTCTTTTAAATATTTATATCAATCATTAATATTTTTGAGAGAGATGTGTGTATACATACACATATATATGCATATGTGTATGTGTACACAATCATTTGCTGGAATGGCTCACAGAACTTAGGAAAACCGTTTGCTTACTAGATTACGGGTTTATTGCAAAAGGATACAACTCAGGAACAGCGGAATGGAAGAGCTGCACTGGGGAAGGTACATGGAAAGGGGAGCTGAGCCTCCATGTTCTCTCCAGGCATCCCATCCTCCCAGCACTTGCACTTATAATCTTGACGCCAGAAAGGTACCTTAGCACATATAGACTTTCCTTGCATTTTTTAAAAAAGGCTTTACTGCTGCCTTATTTTGACTATTGCTGTGAAGATTTCTCACAACAACCTAATTTTCTTTTTTCCTTTGTAAGTAATTGATCTGTTTGCCTGAAACTCCAGAGGATTTTTTTTAAAATATCCTTAAGAACTAAAAATTTTTCTAGAACATATTTAAGAATTACCAAAATGTGACTTTTCAACATGTGGCTGAAGATCCTTATTTCTGAAAAACTTTCTTCAGTTATAACCTTTATAATTTTTTCTGTTGTGTTGTTTGAGTTTTCTTCATTTCCTTCTTCAATGGCACTTATATGCCATTTATAAAATACTCATTAGAATCTATTCTTCTGTAGCCACCTAATGGCTGATGCTTTGCTGCTGAGTTTGTTTTTCTTTTTCTTCTCTTTTCTGACCTTTTTAGATTTCATTTCACATCTTTGTATGCTTTCTCCATTGCTATTTTTTGTTTCACTGATTAGAAATATAATTTTTTAATATGTCCAGGTAATTTTTTAAAAATATATTTAAGACAGGTTTTTTTTTTGTTTCTTTTTTGTTGTTGTTTCTTGGTTGCTGTTTTTTTTAATTACTTTTGGAAGGAAGAGAATTTTCATCAGTTGAAAATTTTTGCTGTCTGTGTTTTTTCTTTCTATAAATTTGTATAGGTATTGCCAATGATTTTCTGTTCATTTTGAGGTACTAAGGTTTTCCTAAACAAGCAGAAGCTCTCAGAAACTCATCTTTTGGGGGTTTTAGAGAGGCCTCAATACACAGGCCTGATTCATTATATCACCTGCCAGTAGTGATAAAAAAATTCAGGCCATTTCTTCTCCCCAGAGGTGTTGTGTGGGACACTGGGGTGTCTGAAATTGGTAAAGTTCTAATCACTTGGTTGGTTCCCCTGGAAACCAGCCCCCATGCTTGGGCTTTCCAGGAGCCCCCAGCCCCCAGCAATCTCATTAGCATATGAAAATACTTACCATTTCAGAGATTGCAAGAATTTAAAAGCTGTGTGTCAGGAAATGGGAAAAGAGACCAAACATATTTCTTACCATGTCACATTGACAATTATTTTGTATATTTAAGTTTCTCAGGCATCACATCGAGATGTATCATGTTCCAAACAAGAAAACGGAACACAATAGGAGCTTTGAGACTGGGAGATGGCTTAGTTTTTATCCACCTAAAGTTAATTATAACTTCTGGAGCTGCTTCTGGAGTTAGACATATATTGCTATCCAATAGAAAGAACAGCACTGGAATTCTCACTAGCTTGTTTTGTCATTTAAGCTTCCTAAATCGGATCTGCTTCTAGCTTCGGTTTTATAATGTACAATGATATGTACTATAGAACATAGACAATACTTAAGTACCTTCCCTTTACCCCATCCCTAAATGAGACCTGAGCCATAGGAATGATGACTAGCACTGAAATAGTTGGTCACCTGGAAACTCTGTGAACTCTGAAATTTCCCCATATTGTATTATCAGGCTGAAAAAAAAAAAAAAAAACATGTATAGTGACACCTGTAAGTGTACTTCAGATAAGAAGAGATTAAGGAGTAATAGTTCCCTGGTGCAGGTTTTACCATTATTCTTCCAATTTTTTCATTCTAGATGAAGGTAAACCAATTGGAACACCACTTATTTTTGCACTTCCCTCTTTGCCCTCTCTTCGTTTTGTCTCTCCTTCAAATCAGCAGAGGCAGAAATGTGTTTTTAGTCAAAACTGCAGATTCACATACACACTCACACACAGACATCCATTTATTCCTTAGCATCACCCCCATATACTATACCTAAGGTCTCTCTTTGTCTACATTTTGATTATCCACACCAAAATAAAATCTATGAAAACACCTGTACAACAGAATTAGTCTACTGAGGCCTAGGGCAACGTGGTGTAAATCTACTGTGCATTTGATAGGTGGTGGTAGCTTATTGCCACATCATGATGGATGATGTGTATCATCCAGAGCTGGACTCTGGAGTTGTCCCTTGTGAACATTAATTAGTAAGGCAAAATGGCTTGAGTTTTTGGATCAAAAGAGACTGTACTAATAAAAAGAGCAAAGGATACTATAAGGATAAAAAAAAACCTGTGCTATTAAAATCTCTACAAGTTATGCAAAAACATAAGAACTGAATGAAATTGCCTTTAAATAGTTGGGTTCTTTGAATTGCTTACCTAAAGTTATTCTTACTATGGAGAAATAAAAACTTACTCTGCAGAAATGAGAAATTTATTATAGCTGAGCCAGATTATACATATGCATGTGTATACGTGGGAATATATATGACATATATCTATGAATATATATGACATATATATATAAAACATTTATCATTGAACATGACATTGAAATAATTAGAATCTAAAACTCCTTTAATATTTAATATACTGATGGCTTTGCTAAAATTCATATGGGATATTTTATGCATAATTACTTACCAGGCAGGATTAATATGAGGATTACTATTTATGTGACAGAAACATTTGTAAACCACCTTGACCTTCTCAAAGAAAGGTTGCACTAGTGATTACAGAGTAATGTCTGCTTTCCTTTTAATCACAATCTAAGATCAGGTCTTCATTTCACAGTGGTAGAGGAAGTTGACATAACGAAAAACATCTAAATAAGTAGGTGGATGATCTCGAGAGATGGTATGGATGATTATTTAAGAGTTTTATAGCCTTCTTTTGTTGGTTGAGTTTTTTTAATCTGTATTTATTGAGGATAACTTTATGTTTATTGACACCATATGTTAATACTATGTAAACACAGGATGTCTTCATATTTAGTTAATATTCCATGTGCGGAACTTCTTAAAGATTTCAAATAAGCCTACATACACTATCCATAT
Organism: Homo sapiens; assembly: GCF_000001405.40. NCBI lineage: Eukaryota > Metazoa > Chordata > Mammalia > Primates > Hominidae > Homo > Homo sapiens. The sequence continues at coordinate 93,013,452 of NC_000004.12, forward strand.
GTTGCTTTTTAGCAAGGGTGCTAAAAATTGTAAAGATTTTAACTTAGCATGGGGATTTATGTATTTATATATATATACCCACACACACATACATATTTTAGGGGGTTATGTATTAAATACTATTCCTGTATTAGAGGTTCGTGCTTGTCATCAGTCAGTATTTTTAGTATACATGTATGTATTGCCTTTACTGTCACCACTAATTCATACTTTGTGACTCCCCCTTGCATATATCCTACCTATGTAAATCTGTATTTGCACAAAGAAGTTACTAGAAATTTTGATTACTTCTTAATCATTCTTAATCAGAATTATTTAACTAATCCACTTTTAATGTTTAAAATTAAAGGATATATATATATCTCACATATTCATTTATTTTAATAAACATTATTTGAGGGGCAATTATGAACTAGTATTTTATAAAGCATATTGTAGGATTAGGGAAAGAAGTGGAAGGGAGAAATAAAAGATGATAAAATATTGAATAATATTTACCTGGTTCTCCAGAAGATCAAATTTCATGGTAAAGACTGAATCCAAGAGATGTACCTATAAAACAATTTATATGATAATTGAACAAGCATAAAGTAAGATATTTGAGCACTTTGTGGAGAGAAAGGGAATAAATTAATTCTGCTCATGTGTCAGTTGAAAGGCTTATAGAAATATGGGTGTTCTACATGCTAAAGTGTTTTAGTTTGTTCAGGCTGCTATGACAAAATACCACAGACTTGGTGGCTTATAAACCAAAGAAATTTATTTCTCAAGTTTCTGGAAACTGCATGCCTGATCACCACCCAGAAGCCCTACCTCTAATGCCATCATCTTCAGGAATACTATTTCAAAATATGAATTTAAGAGGAAAACAAACATTCAGCCCACAGCACAGAGATAAGTGGGCATTCTTAGCAGAGGGAAATGTACACAGATAATAATATGAATAACACAGAGTTATCTTAAGGAAAAATCACGTAGTTTGCTGGGGCTGGAACTACAGCATAAAGAACCAGGGTGGTAAATTGAGGCTGGTATATGAAGAATTATTACATAGAGACAATCCAGGCCCCCACAGAAAATTTCAGCTGGAGTAGACACATGAGAAATTTTTGTTTCAGAAAGGTCACTTTTGATGACAATACTGAAGACATGCTGTGAGATTAGCAAGGAAGATAATTTATGTAGTGGCCAATATAATATTAATGAGATTTCCATGACAAATGGCTTATGGTCAAATGTAATTGTGAAATTCTCAGTCAATAGAAGCATTTTATAAAAGATTGACTAATGGGTCACTTGGAATTTTAATATGTTAATATGCACTGCGATACACACACGTGCATTAATAGTGTCTACATCATTATCCTAACTTGTTTTGCTGTAAGAACAAAGAACTGTACGTTGCTCAAGGCTAATGAAATAGTGGATCTGGGGGGTCTATTCCATATCTATTTAATACAAAAGTGTTATTCACTACTCTAGATTCATTTCACTGGAAAAATAAAAAGATGGTGAGTGATATTCTTAGTCAGTGGCAGAGGGATGGGAAGAAAGAGAAAACTTCAAGAGGTGATTAAAATAAATGACCAACAGAATTTGTTAAATGCTTAATGTAAGGTTCTTAACAGAGAGGCTTCATGAGGTAAACGAATCTCCCTATGTTGGGTGTGAAACCATGCTTCCATACACATTGGTGCTTCATTCTGAAAAAAAGGTATTTTAACTTTTGGCAGCTGTCTGTAACCACTAAAAGATTAAAACCCATTGGTAATGGGCCAAAAATGGAACTCTGGCATAGACTAGATAGATCTAAAGAAGGGGAAAATGGAAATGAGAGAGACAATCTTGAGAAAGCAATGTTCTGAAGTCAAAGCAACAAGGAAGCTACTATACAGCAAGGGAATGAAGAGCACAGATGCTGGAGCCACATTGTGTGGGCACAAGTCTTGGTCCTACCCATAGCTAAGATTTTGTTTGGGAAATTTAGCTCTTTTATGAAAGCTATCCACATTTATAATGCAAATAAAAATAGCAGACAACCTCATAGGGTTGTAGTGATCATCAAATGGTTTTATACATGCTAATTGCTTAGATAAGTGCTCAACACATAGGAAATGAAAATCATGAACAAGGACCTTCCTGGTGATTTATATATGCTATTAATCCTCACAGCAACATCAGGTGGTGCTATTATGAATTTTCATCATGGAACACAAAAACTGTCATGAAAACTTAGTAGACCCACAATTCTGTTTTACTCCTAAACTCAAGCTCCTTTAAGTACACTACATGGACGTGACAGACTTTCAAAACAGGGAGTTTGGAACCTGGATAATCTTGGCAAATCCTACAGAGGAAAAATACAAAAAGTAGCTACTAGATCAGTGTTTCTTATAGCAGGCAAACCTCAACCCCCCAAACAAAACAAAACAATTTCATAAGAATGGACTTGTTGATGGCAGATTGCAATACAAGATAAGCACATGTAAATAACAAATACAAACCAAAGTTGGATGAATTATCACAATAAAGGGGAAGAAGCAGATAGGTAGTATCTACAAAGAGTTAAGATAATGTGTTTTTTTTTGGGGAGGGGGAAGTGTGTGTGTGAGTGTGTGTGTGTGTGTGTGTGTTTAAATGTTTACCTTTATGTGTGTTTGGAAGATGAGAGGCTTGAGCATACTAGCATGTTCAGGGAAAGGAACCATTGAAAAGAAAAAAGGTAATAATACTAAAGAAAGAGGGAATAATACTAACGGATGTATCAAAAATTGGAATAGAAAATATCATTAAATAGGGAAGGATGTCTAGCTTCCTAAAACAGGAGGGAAGTTAAGGAATGAAGTGACCTCTATTCACCTCTGAACCCAGGGATTCGGTAACATAGATCAGTAACTCTTCCTGAGTGCTTACAATGCACTGTGCACTATTTTAAGCGCTTTCTGTAAATTAATTTATGTTGCTTTGAGGTAGCTAGTATAACCAAGAGGATAGTAGAGTAAAGAGAGGTCCTCCAGTGGCTGTTCTGGGCCATGAATTTGACAGTTAGTCTTTAGAATCCATGTACTTTACTCCATGCACTGCCTCTCTGCCCATCCCCTCTCTGGGCAGTTGGAAGTGGGAGGCTGGATCAGCGTCTTTGAATGTGGTGGAATGTAGAGGTGTCCAAAGAAGGAGCAAGGGAAAGAATCTAACACATACAGATAGGACAAAGTGAAAATGGGAGCAGCAAGAAACAAAATAGAAGACAGAAAACTAGCAAAAGATTATAGAAAGAGGGGAGGCTTAGAAAAAGAAAAGATAAATGAAGACAAATGCAAGCCATATTAGATATCAAGTCAAGTGCATTATTAAAATTCAACTACTTTAGTCATTTTGAGCACACTTGTTTTTAGAATAAGTTATCACATTATTAGGTTTGAAATTTTGTCTATTTTTTTTAAATGACTTTCTTGAGTAGCTAAAACCGTTGCTTAAAAAAATTCTCTTCTATGATGCTTCTGTCACGTTTTGGGGTAATTGCACAGAAAAGATGAATTCATGTTGAGACAGAATTGGGTGGAAATGTCTAGTTGAAGGGATAAAAACTGAAAATTATCAATAATGAAATTTGGAAGTCTTGTCAATAATTCTTTAATCCCCTAAACAGATTGTATCTTTTAAAACTTATCTACATTTCAAAGGTAATATTTTGTTTCCCATGGGGATTTTTTAAAAAATTTGGGCAAAACCAAGAATAGGAATGTTATTATACAAATTACTCAATAGCAATTTTGCTCATGGACATTGTTAACTATGTATGTAGGTTAAATAATTTTTTTCCTATAAGAAAATAAAATACAGTTTTAGATTCTAAATAGCCAATTTGTTGTATGTAGTTGACAGGGTAGCCTTTTTTAGTATAGCTACTTTATTTTCAGCCTAACCTATATTTAAGTATGAAATTTATTGGAGAATGAAAAGTTAACTTTTGCTGCTGCTACTTTCAAAAAAATTTTGTAGAAAAGAGTATTAGTGATAAAATACTTAATAATCTTTTTCTTTCTTTCTCCGTACTTCACCTGAGTTCTATATATATATGGCCACGCGCAGTGGCTCACACCTATAACCCCAGCACTTTTGGGAGCCCGATTCTAGTGGATCACTTGAGGTCAGGAGTTCGAGACCAACACAATGAAGCCCTGTGTCTACTAGAAATACAAAAATTAACCAGGCATGGTGTTAGGCGCTTGTGATCCCAGCTATTCAGGAGGCTGAGGCTTGAACCCAGAAGGTGGAGGTTGCAGTGAGCCAAGATTGCACCACTGCACTCCAGCCAGGACTCCAGCCAGGACAGAGCAAGGCTCCTTTTCAAGAAAAAAAAAAAAAAAAGAAAAGAAAAGAAAAAATAAATTGCAAATAATATGTGCACCAAGACATAAGACAGTAAGCTTTTTTTTTTTTTTTTTTTACTCCTATGTCAGTTCCTGAACAGTTTGGTAGAACATCTCCTTAATCATCAATTAACCAACAGGTTACAGAAATTGAGTGAGAGAGGACTTCTTGGAGGATTACAATCTAATTACGTAACAGGAAGAAAACACAAACTGATTTTTATTATGTCCTACAGTTTTTCACTGTTCAGTATAAATTATACTTTTTCTCAAGGAAAGAGAGATAGATATAATGGATAGGCTATGAAATGTTGGGAGATACTGAGAACAAAATTTTGCTGCAATTTATGAAGAATAATTGTTTTATTTTAATTTTAAGTTCCCAGTGTATTTTGTTGAAAAAAAAAAAAAAAACCTACAAGGAAGTTTCAGTTACTCAGGGACTAATCAGTTAGCTGGCCACTTTTTTATATAAAATGGCATTTTCTTCTAGGTTTGCCTTTAGTTTTCACCATAACAGTGTCATTACTTATTACAACTTCATCCTGAGTAGAAAGAGAAACAGAACTAGCTAATATCAGCTTGTTTGGCTTTATGCTTGGTGAGAGATGTTGGCATTGTGGTTTAAAGTGGAGGTTTTATTTATTTTGAGTCGTTATTCATCCATCACTGGTTTTCACTAACGAAAAGTTAGCTGTGCTTATCTACTGAGAGATCAATTCCATTTTAAGAGCAATTTATAAAGCTTGAAGACAGCCATGAATATAAAATAGCACAATTCACCAGGTCTTCACAAAGAATACTCAAAATTGAGTATATCAATTTCAAAATTGAGTATATCAATAATCAAAATCTAATTTTACCACTGGTGTAAAGAGAAAGTAAGTTAAAAAATCCCAAATCCTTTCTTTGTTGGATTAGGTTCCTGCCTTTCTTATTATTCTTTGCTTTCATCTATTGTATCCAGCAAAGTGGTATCATATCAATGAAAAGCTAAAACTCCTAGTAACTTGTAGGAGCACATTGACATAGGTGTAAAAAAGAGAGACTTCAACTCAAAACAAAACTTTTACATTAAAAGTAAAAGGCCTACTCAGAAGTGGAAATAATCTAGATCCACTTCCCTTAAATACCAGTCCTTATCAGAAAATGCATATTTAGTAGTATTTTATTTCACAATATGTGAGTTATCTAGCTCAAGAAGGAATAAAGGGAGTCTTTAGTTAAATCAGAGGATGTTGTGAAATAGCACTGCAGTGTTCATAATGAAATTCTTTATATTCATCAATGTTTTTCAGACTGAGTTCCAATATATATTCTCTAGGATCTAAAAGTCTCCATGATATTTCATTTATAAATTATGTCAGTGTTCCTACACATTCATATACACACACATACATGTACACATATACATACTAGAAGAATTAGATGACAGTCTTACAGCCAAATACCACAATTTTTTTTATTACTTACATTTGCTTCTATCTTGGAGCCAAATGAAGAATAAATGTTTTTGTTTTCTTGTCAGTTTGAGTTTTTCAAGCTGTCTTCTAAGACCATATTCTTGGGGCCTGAAGTTTTTCAAGTTTAAGAAACCCTGAGATAGGTGACTCTTATTTAACCAATTGCTGTGATCAGTTCTATGACCTTGGCATTAAGACCTGGGTGAAATGATCAAAAATGATCTACATTTTGGTTATTAACATATCTTCCATGTTCACATCCTTTTCCTTTCAGAATTCGTAGCCTTAAAAATAATAAAAAAGGGCAGAAGATAGTCAGACTAGTAGGACTCTTGAGGAGGCTCTCCTACCCTCACTCACATCACAGCTGCTGCTTTCCTAATGGTCAGGATTACATGCCCAAAGCCTTAGAAAATTATCTTAAAAGGATGCCTTCCCTTCACCTTTTTCCTCTTATTGGCTCCAGATGCTCTCTTTTTTGTATAAAATTCAAAACTTGGTCATCGTTTTAAGAGAGATATTAAAGGGTAACACATTGTATGATCGTATCAAAGTATCACATGTACCTCATGTACAGCCATTATACATCCATAAAAATTACAAATTAAAAAAACTTTTAAAACAATACTTTAAAGAATAGTAAATGATAGCATAGAGGTAAGAGAATGCATTGTGGAATCCGATTGCCTGTGTTCAGATTCTTCATTCTACTACTTATTAATTCTGTGACACTGGACATGATATTTGACTTCTTAGTGCCACAGTTCACAATTTATAAAACGGGAATGAAAATAGCACTTACTTTGTGTGTATTGTTGATGAATTCACAAACCAGTAATTAATCATATTTGATATTTACAAGTAACAATCTGAAACTAAAATTAAAGTTTTATTGAGGTAATATTTGAGTGCAATGTCATATTACAATTAGTATCATGTCTTCATGAAAAAAGTAATGGTCTATGAATTTACCAAGGATAAATGGCTGGTCTGTTCCGACATCCCTATGAATTTTTCTTTTCAGCCTAATAGATGACTTTTATTTTAATATTTTTAGCTGTAATAAAATTTTAAAATTCTATGAAAAAATGCAAAGAAATCCTGCTGTTCATATACAGTTATTAATTAATAACATGATTGTATCACTAGATTATTAAAAGTTCACATACATATGCCACTGTGGCAAAAGGATTCTCATTATTGAAAAGAACACCAATAAATGGTAAAAAAACATAGTTTTGCATAACTTTGCTGATCATGAATAGTCAAAGACTAATGTGGGTTTAAAATGTGGGTTTAAAATGGAATTATTTTTAGTAATATCAAAGAAAATCTGAAATCATATGGCATTCAGTCTTTCATATTCTGGGGAAACCTTAAGAAATAAAAGACTTGTGACAACTTTTCTTTATTACCCAATGTCTATATTTAAAATGTTTGTGTTTCTTTAAAAGAAATATATGGGCTGGGTGCGGTGGCACATGCCTGTAATCCCAGCACTTTGGAAGGCCGAGGCGGGCAGATCACCTGAGTTCAGGAGTTCGAGACCAGCCCGACCAACATGGCAAAACCCCGTCTCTACTAAAAATACAAAATTAGCCGGGCATGGTGGCGGGCACCTGTAATCCCAGCTACTCCGTAGGGTGAGGCAGGAGAATCGCTTGCACTGCAGGCAGAGGTTGCAGTGAGCCAAGATCATCGTGCCATTGCATTCCAGCCTGGGTGACAGAGCGAGAATTTGTCTCAAAAAAAAAAAAAGAGAAAGAAAAATATTTTAAAAATCAGTAATTAATAATCCTGTCATTAAGGGCAGGCCCATTAATAATTGATAATTGATATTTCAGTTATTTTTCCAGGTTTATGGAAATTTTACATATAAAATATAAATGCCTGAAAAAATAAGTTTTGTATTATTCATGAAAATAACTGGAGCATTTTTAGAATGCATCTTATATACTCTTTGTAAGCATTCCAGAAAGCAATCTTACTGGATAATTTATAGATAACTGTCTAAAACTACTTTGCTAAACAATGGAAAAATTAATAACTTAGAAGAAAATGAAATTCTACTTCAAAGAACATATTAAGAGATCTATATTATAAATGTTAATAGAGTTATTTAACATATTTCTATTATAAAAATGATAGATATTTAATTTTAAAAATTATTAAAGGACTCAGATTTACTTTTGAAATCCATCTGCTAAATATAAAAAAATAGGAAATTTTGGGCTTATTTTTGTAAATAAAAAATGAATGAAAACAAATTTTAAATAATAAATAATATATATTATATAATTTTTATCTTAATCTTATATATTATTTATATATTGTATATATTATCACTATATTATAAATATAATTATTTATAATATGTATACTATAAATATAATTATTTATAATATGTATATTATGAATATTATAATTATTTATAATATGTATATTATGAATATTATAATTATTTATAATATGAATATTATAATATTTACAATATGTATATTATATATTATTTTTATAATAAATTTTAATATACTTATATAATAAATATTATTTTTAAATAATAAATATTATAACAATATTATTTTGTAAATGATAAAATTTTTAAAAACCAAAGCTTTTATAGCTTCAACTCTGGAGAGAGGAATTTTATTTACATAAACTTCATATTACATTGGTGCAAACATAATTGCAGTTTTTGCCATTACTTTCATTGGCAAAACCAGAATACAAAATTGGCAAGCCAGAAATACAGAAAATATATTATTCAATTAAATGAATGCCCTCCAAACTCTTATTCTTGAATCTAAGATATTTACAAAAATCTTTCCATAGATATTCTTTCATAAATACATGTTTGTGTATATGTATATGCAGATGTATCTATCTTTGATTATGTCCTTTTTCATACATACGCATATACACACACACACAAACACACACATATATATATGTTTATAAGTTTGCATAAATATTTATATGTGGGCATATATAATGAGGGAAAGAATCAGCTCTTTTTTTTTAGGATACCAAAAATGCTATTTTAAAACTTTCTTTAATACCAACTCAAACAGATTCTTTCCTTCTATGCATTCTAATTCGTTGTGTGGAATACTGTAATTTATTTTTTTAGTCATGTATTGGTATACATTTAAATTTTTTCACATTGTCTTGCAAGCTCGCTATTATGAACAATGTTGTAATGAATGTTTTAGATCATAAATCTTTGCAATATTTTCTAGGAATACATTTTTAGTCAAGAAATTCCTAGTTAAAGAAACTACATTTTGAATTTTAACAGGTATTGCTGAATTATCCTCTAAAACTTTTAATCAAAATGTTTTCACAAAATTGCATCTTAATTTACCCTTTGTCAACATAATAGATTTTAAAATTTTAATTTGTATTAATCTACCTTTCTTTAATTATAAGTATCTATTTAGTCATTTATTTCCTGTTTGTGAACTACTAAAGTATTATGCTCATTTTTTCTTATTTTGTTCAACTTTTACTTACTAATGGTAAAAACTTGATATAATAGTAAATGTTTTCTTTGCCTGCTGCATGTTTTGTAAATATTTCCCTCATGTTCATTTAAAAAAAATTCACTTGTGTCGTTTTTCAATTCAGAATTTAACATTTTTAAAACATATATTCAATACTCTTGTTATTATTTCATCCCAAATCTACAGTGATACACAAAGGCCAGTAAAGAATGTTGACATTGTTTATGTATAAATAGTGAACCAGTGCCATTGATTTTAGGACATTTAATGAGAAGATTAAATTGGGTGGCCACAGAGAACATTTGTGTGTGTGTGTGTGTGTGTGTGTGTGTGTGTATGTATGTGTGTGTGTGTGTGTGTCTGTATTGGGCATGTATCTTTGGATAATAACTATTAGTTAATGGTAGAAATAGCTGATTTTACCATTTTTAATTAATGACATATTGCTGGCTGTATTTTCCTGAATGATATGTATGTATGATAGAATTTCTCTAGATGTTAATAATTATTCCAAGAAAAAAAATCTGTAGTGAAATATTTCAAGAAAAAAATATCATAAGATATTCTTCTGTTAAAGATACACAATAGATCATGGAAGATTTGAAGAAGCTCTGCAATAAGGAAACCTGTGTAACTTTGTTTAATCACAATGTTTCTCAAATCATTTACACATATGTCCGTTTTCTGTAAAACACTTTTTGACAGCACACAGGAAATTCTAAAACAGCTAATAGTGTGGTATTTTCTCACAAAGGAATTAAAATATGTAATTTTTAAAAGAGAAATAAGCAATACCTGAAATGAACTATAATATTTTACAGATTATAGTGAAGCTTAAAAGTGGGGTCTATGCCTTGAGGACAGGGCTAAGACATATATATCACATATAACCTCAAATATCTTAAACTGAAGCTACTTTTACTTTTCCTTAAATAAGCTAAAAACACGTCGGAATATGATGGGTGTTACATTTTGTTTCTTGAATATAGAGAAATAAAGGGTAAAATATTTTTAAGACTAAATAATGTTCACATTATTCTAAACAAAGAAATAATAGAGCACCTGTAGCTGTGTTTCAGCAGCACCTAGAAACACTTAACTACACAGAACTTTATATAGTTCACTGAAGTAGGATAAAATGTTTTACAAAACATTACTCTAGTGTTTTTCCTTGGAGTATCTTCCACCTAGCCCATTGTTGAGCAGGAAAAAGATAAAAGAAAATCTCTATAAAAACAATTTACAAGTCATTTCAAATAAGTCTCTTACTTTAACTATCTGGTAGGTGCAAAATAAAAAGCCAGATACGGAATTATATTCTGAGTCTTGTTAATTCAAAACCTGGCATTTATTTTTGTAAATGTCATAATTTCAAGTCTTACTAAGATCATTTTTGCTCCCTTAGCCCTCTTTAATGAAACTCCAAAATGTATTATGCAAACAGGTTCCAATCAAATGAGGCTTAAATCTTTCTCGGAGACAAATGCAGAGAAATTTCTGTTTATGAGTATGCAATAGATTTTAATGTTAGGAATAATATTGATTCTCAGAAGTTGTAGGAATAGCTTATGGGGCATAAATTACATATTTATACCATAGAATTTATTATGAGAACTTAAAAATTTCAATTTACTTAGCTGTAAATTTATTGACTTCTAGAGATTTAAAATTTTCTTCTGAAGTTAAGCAAATTTGCCTGTAAAATGTGTACAAATTTTAAAATCTTTATAGTTTAGCAGAAAGCATGAAGACTTTCAAAAAGACAGGTTTTAAACATTGCAAAACCTCATGTATTTTACATTATTTTATATATTTTAAAGGTTACATTAGTTCTACAGTTTGGTGTGATGGTTTCACTGGCAAATGCACTTGTCAAAATTAATGACTGAATACTTAAGATTTTCATATATTGTTGTATGTAAACTAAATGTCAATTTTAAAAAGTACTTAGGTAGTATTAATTCCTTCTTTCTGTTCCTAATGCTCAGCCTCCCACTTATCCACTATCACACTGAAACAAAATTATAAAGATTACATTAACATGGCATTATTTCTTTGTCAGTGGAGATTAAATAACCTATATTTTAATGCAACAAGGAGGAAGAGAAAGAGGAGAAAAAAGAGAAGACCAGCTGTTTTATCTCTGTGAAGCAGAGAAATGATAACTAAAATGGCAACTGGCTTTAATTAATCCATATAAGTGCATATTAGAGTACATTGCTTAATGAAAAAGTGGCATTCAGCACAAACCTAGCACACAGTAAGCCTTCATTAATATTTGTTGATGGAAGAATGAAGGAAGATAGAAAGTAAAGAAAGAGGAGGGAGGGAAGAAGGGAGGGAGAGAGGTAAAGAGAGGGAGAGAAAGAGGAAGGGGGCTAGAAGGAGAAAATTTGAATCCACTCCAAATGTGTTTGGAAACATTTAAGTTCTCAGCATATTTCTCTAAAAGAAAAGAGACTTCTCCATAAGTTTATGCCAAACAGCATTTCAGACAGATGTATCATGTTTATATTCTTCAGGATTCAATATTAACTTGGCTAAACAGATATTTATTAATCCCATGCAATACTAGAAGCTCATGTTCCCTATTCTGAACTTAGTAAGATTAGCCAGTAATGTAGGACCCTATAATATTCTCCTCAACCTATGATGTGTAGGAATTTGTTTCATCTACTTTTTTCTCACAACAAAATCAGGTCCTCTAGTTGTCAATTGATGATGGTACAGATGGTTGCTTAAAATGGATTTAAGCCAGGCAATATGAGAGAATTTTTATGTAGATTATTATTTTAAGTAGTCCAATTTGTAACATTTACCTATAATAATATTTAAAAATTATACTTTTAATGTTCCTACCACCGGGGCAAACTTCCTTCCTTGCAGTAAGTAGCTTAAGAAGAATAAAAACAGTGAGAAATAGGCTTTAAATATAACCATTTTCACTTGGTAACTGGCTCTAACATAATAGCTTCCCATGAGATAATGTAGATGAACAAGCATTTACTGAAATTTGAACCATGATAGATTTATCAAGTCATTCTATATTTATTTTTTAATGTGTATTCCTGGGCTACCTCCAAGCTTTCTAGAATAAAAGAGATGATTTTGAATTTTAGAAATGGAACCAAGTTAATCTGGAAAATATTAATATCTAGACATCAATCCTAGTAGTTGTGTTTGAAAACTCTGTATTATATTCATTACTTAGAAGAGAACAAAAAGTAGGGAAAGTTGATAATTTTCTAATTCATTTAAAGATGTATTATAATTTCTTTCACTGAGAGAAGTAGTGTAATATCAAGAAAATATTTTTGACTAACAAACTGTAAAATGAAGGTTGTTTTCTTCTCTTTTTATAATCACTATCTTCCCTTTCAGCAGTTATAATCAATTAGGATTTAGCTTGGAATTATGGTCTCAGTTATAACCCATTTCTGCTTTATTCAAATGTTTTCTGAGATTTGCTTTGTAGCTTAATTTTTTATACATTGAGCTCATTATAAAATATTTATAGGGCATATTTGGCCTCACACAATACTCTTAGCATAGAGAAACCTATGCATCACCAGGGAACAATTTCTGTTTGAAGATAAACATATTTCTCATCAGTACAGAATGAATTATATCGGAAACAATTTTGTATCCTGAGCTTGGCTTTATTTCTTATTACTATGATTTTTAAAAATTATTTTACAATGTGTGAACAAAGAAGTTATGTATACTTTAATGCTTGAAAATCAGTTCCATTTTTTTTCTCATCCATAAGTATTTTCAGATTTACTTTGATGGTACAGAAATAGAATCATGTAGAAGAGGATATTTTTAATAATTTGGAGTGCATTTGTGAGGTGTGCGTGTGTGTGTATTTTTCAGCATTATAATTCCTTGAAAATTTTCTTTTAGCCATCATTTGTCCTTGCCTGATCATTGCATCTTGAGTTTTTAATGCTGGGTGGAGTATATTTATGAATACCTAAATTTAAGAATGACTACTCACTAAGAACAAATGAAATGCAAATATCATTCATTTATAATTTAATACTTACACAGCATACATTTTAACCTGCTTACTTTTTAAAAATACAAAAAAATGATAATGGCCTGAAAAACTGCCCATTTATAGTAGGTAACACCAAGAATAGGCAATCTGTGAAGATGAGAAGAATGTTTGTACAGATGCGAAGCATAGATGTTACTCAGAAGTGAGAGGAAGAAAGGGGAAGAGTTAGAAAATTGCTTTTCCAAATACATTGGCAAATCAACTGTGGAATGCGATCAACACCATTTTTTTGTTTGTTTTACATATAAAATCATTTTCTTCAGTTGTTTTTGAACTATATGTGTGGAAGCAGTGTTTTTTTGGTAGTGGTGATTTATTTGCTTCTCTTTGGCTGCTATTTATATAGGATTACATTATTAGTTATTTATCAGTAGTTAGAACAGTCAAATTTTTAGGGTCAATATGCCTGGTGTGATGGTTTGTTTCACTGATGCATAGCAGTTGGACATACTATTTTTCACACTTTATTACTAACTTCAACATTCTCAAAGGAAGCATTGAAGAGAAAATTGAGGCGGGACAGTACAATTTCTTAGCATGCCTAGAAAACAAAAGATTAAAGCAAGTAATATATATATCACATGGACAAAGGAAGAGTGTACTCCTGGTTGTATACTAAGAAGCCTTGTATTGCTGGATTTTACAGAGTGTATCCACAGACAAGTTTTATTAATCTTTGCCTACCTGTCTTGCATTTTCACAGTGAGAATATTCAATAATTCAAAGCACATTCATATGTTGTTATCTTTGGAGATGAGAGGAAGATTGAATAAGTGTTAAAATGTGCACTGATTTTTACAGTGAAATTCAGAAATTGATAAACATTTTTTAACTTCAAATTTAAATTGAGATTTAGATAACGATATATTTAAACATACATGTTAGCTCATATTATTTTGCTAAATGAAATACCTAAATACAAATTTAATATCTTAGGATACATTTGATATTTTTCCATGGCAGGTTGTTAATATAAAAGTTATTTCTAAAAGCACCACACATACCTATTAATATGAATAGTAAATACAAATCCAAATTTAAATAATCTAAAATATTATTTTATTGATAACATTAAAATAGTAATATTTACATGTATTTTTAAGTAATCTCAATTTTTCATGTCATATCTAAGAAATTAGAAGAACATAAATCCATTATAGTATCTAATTCACACTTGGAAATGTTCCTGCTGCATACTTTCTATTCAGTCTCTTCTTGATTTATTCATTCAACAAATACTCATTTTGTGCCTGTAATTTGCCAAGTACTGTTTTAGGCATGAGAACAAAATGAATAAATTAGACGCAGTCCATGAGCTCTTGAAGCTTATAATGCAATGAGGAAGACAGGATACACCAAAAATTGTGTAAGTAGATAAAAGCTAGTCAGGCACTGACAGGTGTACTGACTTTGATAGAGTGATAAAGAAGGTATCTAGAACAGTAACTTGAATGAATTGATGGTGCAAGCCTTTAGAGGGGGTGGGGATGACAAGCACCAAGACAGTAGGGTGCTAGGTGTATCCATGGAACTGCAAAACCAACGCTGCTTGGGAGAGAGAGAGAGTGCCAGGGTAGTAAGAAATGAGACCGGAAAGAGTTCCAAAAGGTAAATTACCTAGCGCCTTTATAAGGAAGAGTGAAATAATAAATCATGCGTGATTAGGCAGATGATGAAACCATGGAGTACCACGATAGTAGTGAGTATGCAGAGCAAATCTAATTTGGAATCTTTTTTTTTATATATACGTACGACATTTTGATATGTGTATACAATTTTTCCATTAGATCATGTGTAATGATCAAACCACAGTAATTAGTAAGCCCTACATTCGCTTTGGGTCTGCCATTACTGTCTTAAAATTCTCAATAATTTTTGAGCAAGGGAGCCTATACTTTCATTTTACTCCAGGCCTAGAAAATTAGGCCTAGAAAATGAGGTAGCTGGTCCTGCTTTCTGCTCCCACTTAGAGGATCTGTAAGAATAATAACATTTGTAAATGATGTACTTTAAAAAGTGTGACTTACAATTTCTGAAGCCCAGAAAAATTATGAAGTGATTACTTAAGGAAAATTTTCATGCACATAAATACAAGCAGAGCAGGAGAATAATGAGTTAACACAGTGATCTTATTTTGTGAAGAGATTAACTGAGATAAGTGGAATTTCTTACAATTTTAGATTAACATTATGTTATTAATCTTCATAAATATCACATCCTGAGTTCCCATTACATGGAGAGGGAAGCATTTTTAGATTATTAAAATGAGGCATAGAGCAAATAAATTATAAACTCTCCAAGGAAGTCCCTATTCAAGGGTTTTAAAGTAAGAAATGGCAAATAGAAATAAAGAAAAACTTTATTTTTCTTTAAACTTTAGTACTGAATTCTTGGTTTACCATCTTCAAAAAAAATCTGTAATAAAACCCTACCCTTTCATCTATGAATTATAACTTTTTAAAAATATATTTCTTTACCAACATTTTAATACAGTAGATTCACTAATATTTGTTAATTTTGAATTTGAAGACATATCGATCTAATGCATTTCCAAATGTGAGCTTCTTAAATAATAATTGTTGTTCCTTTTATTGACATGATATAGCAGTATTACATTGTAACACTACATGTAATTGTGATTTTGGTAATATTAAACTGTGTTTGTTTTAAGATTTTCCTCTGTAGCTATAAATGATGAAATAGAAAGTACCAGTAAACCGGAGTATTTTTTCACACTAAAAATATCATATTTTTAAAAGTTACAATATTTACATTTCAAGATGAGAAAGTAGGGTTAATAAAAACTGCTATTATTAGAGTAATAGTAACAAAATATACAATAGCATCAGGTTTTTTTTAATATTTAATGAAGTCTTCCTCCAATTATTTATATGACAAAAATTTAATTCACAAAAAGCGAATTATTGGAATGATTGCTTTGAAAAATTGCCTGATTAGCTTCTTCTGCCCAGTCTCTCAAAAGAAAATGTTTAGGTATAACTAACTTACTGGGAGAGTGTGATAAAAATAAACATGCTTTATTCATGTGCCAGGCTGCTCTTTCTTAGCATGCAAATAAAACTGCATGAGGGCTAACAGCTGCTCTTAGAGTACTGCATGTCCCAGTCTGCTAGGGGAACACAGCTGGAGAAATGTACAGAGCATTTTCATCATTGAATCAAACACAAACTAGAAAGCCATTTAGTACTACATATGTAATACTATTACTATTGAAAAGTAGAGTTTCTGTTCTCTCCTTTTTTCTGACACCCATTTTAAGCTGTGCCCCAGTGGTTCTTTACAGGAAAGTTTATAAAAATACATAACTATTTCATGGTATTTCATCTTGAATTTTTTTGGAATACAGAAAACTGTATTTTTTCCTTCCTCTTTCCTTTTCTCCCGCTCTCCTTTCTTTCCTTTCTGTCTTCCTAAAAGTGTTTCTTTTCTACCTACCAAATTTTAAACCCTGCTTGAGGCAGTGAGGACCGTATGGTGAACAGTTGAGGTTGATGCTCGTAGAGCTGCATCTTTTTTTTTTTTTTTTCTGAGATGGAGTCTCACTCTAGTGCTCAGGCTGGAGTGCCATGGCTCAATCTCAGCTCACTGCAACCTCTCCCTCCTGGGTTCAGTCAATTCTTGTGCCCCAGCCTCTGGAGTAGCAGGGATTACAGGCATGCACCACCACGCCCAGCTAATTTTTGTATTTTTAGTAGAGACAGGATTTTGCCATGTTGGCCAGGCTGGTCTCGAACTCCTGACCTCAAGCAATCCACCCACTTTGGCCTCCCAAAGTGCGGGGATTACAGGTGTGAGACACCACGCCCAGCTAGAGCTGCATCTTTCAAGACCGTAATAGCATCTACAAACAGACCTCTTCAAATGGAAGACAAATGAAAATTTATAAAATGAAAAAACTTTAAACAGAAACAAGGAGAGGGAGAGGAATGGAGACAGAGGAAGGGGATGAGACAGAGAGAGAGGAGAAGAGTGGTGAGAAAAAAAGAGAGGAAAGGAATGGGAAAGAGAGAAGAGGAAGAGAGAAAACAAATCTCAAAGCTATTTGGGGAAGATGAAAAAGAGGATGTGAAATTTCTTGTTATGAGCATTTATTGTCATGAAATTTTAATGACTATTAAAAAATCCTGCACCCAATTGCTTTACATGATCCAATCTCCATTTTTTTTTTTTTTTTTTTTTTGACATGGAGTCTCGCTCTGTCGCCCAGACTGGAGTGCAGTGGCATGGTCTTGGCTCACTGCAGCCTCGGCAACCTCCACCTTCCAGGTTCTAGTGATCCTCCTGCCTCTGTCTCCCGAGTAGCTGGGACTATAGGCACCTGCCACCACGCCCAGCTAATTTTTATATTTTTAGTAGAGACTGGGTTTCACCATATTGGCCAGGCTGTTCTTGAATTCCTGACCTAGTGATCTGCCTGCCTCGGCCTCCCAAAGTGCTGGGATAATAGGTGTGAGCCACCGTGCCCGGCCGTATCATCCACTCTCCTACGGATATAATTAAAAATCCACAATCTTTAGAACTTCAGCTGTCAATAATTCTTCCCCTGCTGCCTGACACCACAAGCATTTTGTAAATACTTTGGCTCTAAATAGGTGATATGGTTTGGCTGTGTTCCCACCCAAATCTCACGTTGAATTGTAGCTCCCATAATTCCTATGTGTCGTGGGAGGAATTGAATCATGGGGTGGGTCTTTCTCTTCCTGTTCTTGTGGTAGTGAATAAATCTCATGAGATCTGATGGTTTTATAAGGGGGAATTTCCCCACACAAATTCTCTCTCTTGCTTGCCACCATGTAAGATGATGTCCTTTGCTCTTCTGCCAAGATTGTGAGGCCTCCCCAGTCATGTGGAACTGTGGGTCAATTAAACCTTTTTTTTTTTTTAATAAATTACCCAGTCTTAGGTATGTCTTTATTAGCAGTGTGAGAACTGACTAAAACAGTAGGGTAAGGTTGTACCAACTTTGGGGAAGATAGTAGTGACCTCTTGTAACTCTACAATTGTTTTGGACCATTTATATAGTTGTGAAATAGTTCAACCTGAAAATTTGCCAGCAGATTCTGTGTATCTCAATCTAGCCATACTTCAAGAGTAGCAAGCATTATAAACAGACTAACCTAAAGGAATGTGAGAAATTTCAAGGGCACCAGCAACCTATAATTTAATAAAGAAGTAAGGAAAGCACAATCTCAGTGAGACAGGAGAACTTTCTAGAATACCTGGGGAAAACTATACTCAATTTCACCATAGCTCACAAGTCTTGTCATCCTGTAGTTTATGATTATGAATGCAGGCCTATTTTCAGCTCTAGGACAGCCCTGATAATTTCATCTCAATTATAAGTTATATTTCAAACATGAAAATAGAAAGATTCAGAGGTCAGGGCCAAAACCAAAGGATGATTTTGAGCTGATTTACAGGAGTCATCAGAGAAAAAAGAAGATAGAACTGAACTATCTAGGTTTATTTTGGGCAGGATCACAAAATTGAATCTTGAAACATTAATGTGAGGTTCCTTTTCTGGGGGTATTTATATGAACAGCAGATTTTTTTTAAAGAAATAAAAATATGATATTGAATTTTTGCAGAGCAACCTAAAAGCATCTTTACACATTTTTCTGAATTAACAGTCTCTTACCTCTTATATTCTAAGGAATAAAATAGGGATTTCTTAACTCTTATCTTAATTAGAAAGTATTTATTGATGTTTTCTGTCAGGAAGCAAATAAACTAATGTCACTTGAGAACTATGTTCCTGCAAAGCAATCCAATGCATTTATTGTCTACTTTGTTTTTGCAGATACAGTCACAGATGCCTTTTCTCTTGTTAAGCAGATGTCTAAAGAAGAAAACAATTATCATATTTAGGCTGAAAAGATAGAATGTATACTTCACATAAATTGAAAATAAAAATCACATTTCCCAGAAATGACCCCAAACAATCAAGCAATGAAAGTAGCCTAACACCCATGGGATACAGGACAGCTGAGCTACACTCTATGAAAGAACAGTATCTGTCACAGTTCAAAAACTCATTCAGGTCTTTCTATCCTGAAAGCTACTATAATTCTTATTTTTCTTATAAAGTGTGATGTTGCTGTTAATTGACATCAAGAAAATCCTTACAACTTGTGTCAAATGACATAAAGTAACACAGATTTTTGTGTCAAAAATGTTATCTAACATTGAAATATTTTCACCCAAGTATATATACTCAATATCACACACAACGATAGACCTATGCATATTAATTTGTCCCTGTGGAGAGTTTAGCAATCTGTGAAGTTAGAGGGAGCACAGTTCACACAAGACCACCCTCACTTCTGACACCAACTACAAATTCAGGGTTATCCCAAAACTACCCTCATGTTTGGTGATTTGCTAGAAGGACTCACAGAACTCATTGAGAGCTATTATACCCATGGTTATGGTTTACTACAGAAAAATGATATGGATTAAAAACCACCGCAGGAAGAAGTACCTAAGGCAGACTCCAAGAAAATACCAAACATAGAGTTTCGGTTGTCCTCCCCTCGTGAAGTCAGAACAATATGACTTTCTTAGCATCAGTGTGAGACTGTACACATGGAGTATTGTGAATCAGGAAAGCCCACTAGAACCTCGTTGTGCAGAAGTTTTACTAAGGCTTCTTTGTGGAGGCATGATTGCTCTCATGACTGATCTTAGGAGGTCTAGCTATATTAACCAAAATCTTTGCCCTACATAATACTGTTGGTCTTTCTGGCATGGTCAACACAGACCCTGAATATTATCTCTTCCCCTTCCTCTCTATCTCCATTCCTCTCCTCTCTCTCCTTGTTTCTGTTTCAACTTTTTTTCATTTTATGAATTTTCATTTGTTTTCCATTTGAAGAGGTCTGTTTGTGGATGCTTTTATGGTCTTGAAAGATGCAGCTCTATGAGCAATGACCTCAACTGTTCACCACATTGTCCCCACTATCTCAAGCAGGTCATTTATTTATTCATTCATTTTATATTAACTTACCAAACAGTTTGGGGCCTATGTGCCTCATCTTACTTTGACTGACATTGGTCATAGAAAAACACATAGTCATAGAATGTTGTGATTAGTAGGTAATCACAATATGAAAAAATATACATCCAAGATGAATCGTCAGCTCTCCCTGAAGGGGGTGACTTCCAAGAGGGAGAAAACTTTGAACTGCCTTTGAGCTGATCTGTCTGTCAAGCTACCTACTGGGTTGATGTTATATGAGTGAGTCTGCCGGGCTACCCAGGCAGGTGAACAACATAGGGAAAGAAGAATAAAGCAACATGACATATTTCCAGTAACATTTAACAACAAACCACATTTAGACAGATGGGAAGAAAACTCAGACAAAAACAAAACCAAACAATACCACAGTGGTTCTCAAATAATAGAAGGCAATAATGTGGGCAAGGCAGACAGTCTGTCATCTGTTGTTACAGAGTTGTTTGTACATAAACCTTGTACGTCAGCACCTTATTTTTTCTAAAACTAGGCTTTGGAACTGCAAAACCTGAGGGATTAAAAACTTGGAATAGTAGGAAACAAGCCGACAATAGTAAGAATCCAATCACCTTGCACAATACAACGATATTTCACTCTGCCTGGGAATGCTTTCTCAGGTGTTATACTGCCCATTGAACACGACTTCTACACGGCACGTCTGTTGATCTTGAACTGTTTTCTGTCCCAACTATGCTTTCTTATATACTCACCAACATGTCCCAACAAGTGTGTGACCTTTATTTAGTGCAGGCTAGACATTATATTACATTTCTTATTTCTTCCCTGGGCAAACTCTATTCCCCTGAATATCAAGGCACATAACTCACTTTGTCCAATGTTTCAACAGAAAAAAATCACCAGAGAATTTTATACACAGTATATTAAACCCAACTTAGAACATAATGAAAAATGTAACTTTATTCTAGTCTCAGAGTCTCTCCATAAACTTTACTCAGTGGGGGTTAACTTCCGTTCTTCCTCCATGAATACATGGCTGGCCCCGTGCGTGTTCAGCATATTCTTGGACAGTATACATTCTTTCAGTCGTTTTAAGAAACAACATAGTCACCATTCAGCAAATAAACTTCCAGTACACGACTACATTAAAAAATAGAAGTAGCTATAAAAGAAAATATTTCTTCTCTCTGTAGCTCAGGTCCGTGTGTTAAAGAAAGCCTAAGCTCTCTCCCTTCTTTTAATCCCTATCACTGTCTGCTTTTTTTTTTTTTTTTCTGAGGCAGAGTCTTACTCTGTCACCCAGGCTGCAGTGCAGTAGTGCCATCTAGGCTCACTGCAACCTCCGCCTCCTGGGTTCAAGTGATCCTCCTATCACAGCCTCCCAAGTAGCTGGGACTACAGGTGTGCACTACCACGAGCATGCCTGGCTAATTTTTCGTATTTTTATATGAAATGGGTTTTCACTATTTTTGCCCAGGATGGTCTTGAGCTCCTTGGCTCAAGTGACAGGCCCTCCTAGACCTCCCGTACTGCTGGGATTGCAGGTGTGATCCACTGCATCCTGCCTTTAACTAGTTTTATCTTGCATTGGTTATTTATTGTTTGAGCAATGAGTTACCCCCACATTTAGTAGGTTACTACAAGAAAGATTAATTTTCTCATTGTTTCTGTGGGTCGCCTGCAAACTGAGCATGGCTTCCCTTTATCCTCTAGTTCTAGGTCAGGGTCTCTCACAAGGCCATAATGAAGATATAACCTAGGCTACTATCCTCTCAAGTACTGGATTGACAAGGGGAGGATTCACTTCCATACTCACTTTGTGGCTGTTGGCAGGCCTCAAATCCTCACTGGCTATTGGTCAGATAAATCAGTTCTTTGCCATATGGACCTCTTTACAGGGCAGATCACAATGTGATATCTGGCTTCTCTCACCACAAACAGGTAAGAGAGCAGAGCCTGAAATGTAAGCATGGACTCTTTAACCTAATCTCAGGAGTGACATTCCACTACTCTGTAGTGTTTTACTCCTTGGTAGCCAGTTATTAAGCCCAGCAGAATCTCAAGGTGAAGGAATATGACAGCCTGAATACTAGGAGATGAGGATAACCAGGGAACATCATAGAGGCTGCCAGCCACAATCTCTGTGGACCAGGAAGCTTTTAAAAGTTGATTCTTTGCCTAGTTTTGATCCTTTATGATCTTTGGGAAATTCCTGTTGCTGGAGACGTCTCACCTCTGGTTACCTTAATCAGGCAATGAGTCTATATTTCGGTGGTCATTTAGATTTCTCCCTTAGCCTTTGGGCCAAAAGGTGGCAATAATCTTCTTATAACCTAAAACAACCTCTCTCCTCCTAGTAGTGTATACATGGTGCACTGAAAAAAATCTATATCCCTTACCTTTACAGATGGTAGGAGTACAAACTGATGCCAGCACAGCAACTCTCCAACTTATATAGTATTAAAAATGAGCATTTACATATGATGCCATATAATTTAGTGTTTGGATCTCCTACTCCCCTGCCACCCATTTGTGCACTCTGTGCTCTTATTTCTTATGGTAAAACAATCCTGTATTTCAAGTAAACAAACTTAATCAGTTTAATATAGAAACAAATACTCTAGGAAAATTAAGTTTTATTATAAACATATTAATGAAAATCAAAATAATTTAAAATATAATAATGGCTTTCAGAGAAAAGTGTTTTTGCTTTCCTTTATTATTTTTGCTAATAGTCATAAAAAGATAAGGAAGTTAGCCAATAATGTTATCAGAAAACACAGCAAAGCTTTTAGATGCCCTTAAACTGTCACCAAAATCAAGTGTAATTTACTTTCTTTTATGTATTACTAGCAATACTTATGTCACATTTTTCAGTGTTCCCATACTATCAGGGAATGTGTATATTCCACTGAGCTCTGATTATTTGGTAGTGGTGTTACATTTTAACATAGTATGGCCATAAAGTTGTACTAAAAAATAGCGAATTTTTTTTATTCTGTATGAGGAAATAAGCTATTTCTCCATTCTTTTATCTAAACACTTGATAACATAGGATAAACATTAACCCTTCAATTAACTAAATATAACAATTGGCAAAGAATTCACGTTAGGAAAGGTACAAAGCAGTAAATCTACAGATTGTTGGTCCTAGGATATATAGCTCTTCTGGTAATTACAGAAGTCTGTAGTATTTCTTAATTTTTCAGCACAGTTGATAAAGATAATATGGATAGACACTCAAATTGTTTTTATTTTACTTCGAAGATCAGCACATTTTTGAACATTTAGAAAATACCAGATTTCTCTGGCATGTAATTTCTCTATTTAAGGATAAAAAATCTGATGAACTCTCAAGTCCCTATTACCTTAAATTCCAAAATTGTTTTAAAAATGTTGAGCTAGTTACTTCTTGAGGAAGGAGAAAGAACAAAATAAGTATATTCATAAACCTTCTCTATTAAAGTTACACAGACTTTAAAGAAAACGTCACCCTTTGTCAGATGGATAGAGTGCTAAAATTTTATCCCATTCTATAAGTTGCCTGCTCACTATGATAATAGTTCCTTTTGCTGTGCAGAAGCTTTTTAGTTTAATCAGATCCCATTTATCTATTTTGGCTTTTGTTGCTATTGCTTGTGGTGTTTTCATCAGGAAGTCCTTGCCCATGCCTATGTCCTGAATGGTATTGCCTAGGTTTTCTTCTAGGGTTTTTAAGGTTTTAGGTCTTTCGTTTAAGTCTTTAATCTCTCTTGAGTTAATTTTTGTATAAAGTGTAATGAAGTGGTCCAGTTTTAGCTTTCTGCATATGGCTAGCCAGTTTTACCAACATCATTTATTAAATAGGGAATCCTTTCCCCATTGCTTGTTTTTGTCAGGTTTGTCAAAGATCAGATGGTTGTAGATGTGTGGCATTATTTCTGAGGCCTCTGTTCTGTTCTATTGGTCTATATCTGTTTTGGTACCAGTACCGTGCTGTTTTTGTTACTGTAGCCTTGTAGTATAGTTTGAAGTTAGGTAGCGTGATCCCTCCAGCTTTCTTCTTTTTTATTAGGATTGTCTTGGCTATGCAGACTCTTTTTTGGTTCCATATGAAACCAAATTTAAAGTATGAAATTTAAAGTAGTTTGTTTCCAATTCTGTGAAGAAAGTCAATGGTAATTTGATGGGGATAGCACTGAATCTATAAATTATTTTGGGCAGTATGGCCATTTTCACAGTGTTGATTTTTCCTATCCATGAGCATGGAATGTTTTTCCATTTGTTTGTTTCCTCTCTTACTTCCTTGAGCAGTGGTTTGTAGTTCTCCTTGAAGAGGTCCTTCACATCCCTTGTAAGTTGTATTTCTAAGTATTTTATTCTCTTTGTAGCATTTGTGAATGAGAGTTCACTCATAATTTGGCTCTCTGTTTGTCTGTTATTGGTGTATAGGAATGCATGTGATTTTTGCACATTGATTTTGTATTCTAAAAAAAACAACCCCATCAAAAAGTGGGCAAAGGATATGAACAGACACTTCTCAAAAGAAGACATTTATGTAGCCAACAAACATATGAAAAAGAGTTCATCATCACTGGTCATTAGAGAAAAGCAAATCAAAACCACAATGAGATACCATCTTATGCCAGTTAGAATGGCGATTATTAAAAAGTCAGGAAACAGGCCAGGTGTGGTGGCTCACGCCTGTAATCTCAGCACTTTGGGAGGCCGAGGCGGGTGGATCATGAAGTCAGGAGATCGAGACCATCCTGGCTAACATGGTGAAACCCTGTCTCTACTAAAAAATACAAAAAATTAGCCAGGCGTGGTGGTGGGCACCTGTAGTCCCAGCTACTCGGGAGGCTGAGGCAGGAGAATGGCGTGAACCCAGGAGGCGGAGCTTAGAGTGAGCTGAGATTGTGCCACTGCACTCCAGCCTGGGTGACAGAGTGAGACTCTGTCTCAAAAGAAAAAAAAAAGGTCAGGAAACAACAGATACTGGAGAGGATGTGGAGAAATAGGAATGCTTTCACACTCTTGGTGGGAGTGTAAATTTGTTCAACCATTGTAGAAGACAGTGTGGCGATTCCTCAAGGATCTAGAACTAGAAATACCATTTGACCCAGCAATCCCATTACTGGGTATATACCCGAAGGATTATAAATCATTCTATGATAAAGACACATGCACACATATGTTTATTGGGTTACTATTCACAATAGCAAAAACTTGGAACCAACCCAAATGTCCATCAATGATAGACTGGATAAAGAAAATGTGGCACATATACACCATGGAATACTATGCAACTGTAAAAAAGGATGAGTTCATGTCCTTTGCAGGAACATGGATGAAGATGGAAACCATCATTCTCTGCAAGCTAACACAGGAACAGAAAACCAAACACCGCATGTTGTCACTCATAAGTGGGAGTTGAACAATGAGAACACATGGACACAGGGAGGGGAACATCACACAGCGGGGCCTGTCTGGGGGTGGGTGGCTAGGGGAGGGATAGCATTAGGAGAAATACCTAATGTAGATGATGGGTTGATGGGTGCAGCATACCACCATGGCACATGTATACCTATTTAACAAACCTGCACATTCTGCACATGTACCTTAGAACTTAAAGTATAATTATATATATAGTATATATACATACATACGTATATACATGTATATATATTACATATCTGTCCTCATTAGTTGGAATACAGCAGGCTTTACTAGTGTATCTGAAGTAAGGAGGAACCAGGAAGTGAGCTGTTTTGTAATGGAGACCAGTTATATCTAACAGAGGGCAACAGTGTCTATAAGACTGTAGCCTATTGGATGGGAAGCTATCTTATGCAAATATGATGAATCTTTTAAATTCTGAGTTCAATGCAGTCTACAGCTAAACTCAAATCCCGGCTCATACTAACCTTGGTCCTTGGGCATGTTTATGCTTCAGTTTTCTCATCTGTACATGGGTTAATAACAATACTCAGCTTGACAGTAACCATACTGCACAGTGCCTAACACATGTAAGTGCTCAATTAACGTCCATTTCTACTTTCTGAAAATATATGGTATTAGTGTGCAAAAAGTTGGGCTACATAACTCAAATCTCCTTTGTATCTTAGGTAAGACCGCTTCTTTCTCTGGATTGTTTCTTCTAGTCAAATGCACAGGAATTTAGTTGATCTCCCAAGTTATTTTGGACCTTAAATTCTGTTTTATTCTTGTTCATTTTCTATGTAGTTTAGATTTAGTTCATTGGACTGATTTATGTTCTGTGTTCTTTTAAAATTCAGGAAGATGTGTATAGGATAGATAGAGCAAATATATAAACACTCAATTTCATTTACTTTAATATAAAAACTAACAAGTTTCTCATTAGTTATAATAACCTTAAAATTGATGTGTTTGGGAAGCAACCTGCATAGTCATTAAAAGCAGGAGTTACAGAATCACAAAAAAAAAAAAAGAAAGAAAACATCACTAACAATGAAAGCAGTAACTAATAAATATAAGTTGTTTTTAATTGTGCAAACAATTTGAGATTTGAAAAGTATTTCTGGACCAAGATGGTGACAGAAATTTTAGGGCATCAGTTTGGTCTTGAAGTTTAACAAGATTTAATTGTCAGAAGTATACTGTAAAGTGTATTCTTTTTCTTCTTCCCCTCTTCCAAACCACAATAATGTAAAGGGTATGTGGTTATTATCAGTAAGAACAATTAGACCAGAATTCATCAGAATGGATATCATATTAATTCTGTCCTGGTTAACTGTGATAATTTAAGTCTTTGTGTATTTTCACTTGTTCAATGAGTCACTGGGTATTTTAACAATGAAAAATCGGTCGGAACAGTGTTACACTGAGAATAAGCACTCTTGAAATGCCCAATACTTTTGAAATAATGAATACCTGTTGTTAGGTAAGAAATTAATAATTATTAAGTTCAATAACTCATCTCCTTTTAGAAAGTCCCACTGTATCTGTTATAAAATTTTAAGAAATTTTCGAGGTCGGCGAATTTACAAGGAGCTGTATTTATGGCATCTTTCTGGATCCTACTTTTGCATTCTATCTTTCTGGTTAAGTTCATTAGGGTTTCCAGCAGTGGTTATCTTGGATCTGAAACATTGTCAGAGATCATATGAAAACCTGAAACTGTAAAATAAGGGTAAAGGAATGGTAGCGATTGTAAAATTAAGAACAAAAATCAGATTTCACACAACAGAATTTGAAAGCTTGAAATAATAGAGAATTTTCAGTGTTTCAATAAA
The DNA here is from genome assembly GCF_000001405.40 of Homo sapiens. Lineage (NCBI taxonomy): Eukaryota > Metazoa > Chordata > Mammalia > Primates > Hominidae > Homo > Homo sapiens. Next base: position 93,041,104 of record NC_000004.12, read on the forward strand.
TAAATAAAATATTATTAGTGAAGGGAATTAAGAGTTTGATATTATCTTGATGAATTCAAGGTAGCTGAAATTAGCAAATCTGATTTTGTTTGCATACTGATAGTGTATCATCTAGTGGGAGAATCAGGTGAACTAAATTCTCAGAGACTGATGTATAAATCAAAGTATAAAAATATTGTGTTGGTAACTTACAGGGCACTGCTTAGATTTCTTTTTTCTCACAATTCTCTCTTAATGAGATCTTGCAGAATGGCGAACTTCTCACATTTTTTGACTGGCATATTCCTTCTTTAAACTTGTTAATACCATTACTTAGGTTAGTGTCAACTGTCACTGGTTTCAAGGAGTCTTACAATCTCTGAAAGTTGACATTTCAGATTTCTAACTTAATTCATTGAGTTGTAGTTAAACTCATATGAGGGGAACTTTAATTCTTAACATGTAGTTAAACTTATATGAGGGGAGCTTTAATTCTTAACATTAACCTCTCAAATGTGGGTCACTATGTACAAATGATGAAAACTAACTCATGTTTTAAATGATAGCAATATGAATGGCAAAAGACTACCTTAGCATATTTTTAATAAAAACTGCTATTGTGCTCAAAACTCCTGAAAAAATCACATTTTACATAATCAGTAATGAAATAGTTAATATTTCTATTATGAAATATTCTGATGTGTGAAGAATTGTACTGAGTAGAGCCCTAACTTCTACTTGGTTGGTGCAAAAGTAACTGTGGTTTTTGGCATTACTTTAGTGACAAAAATATACACACATATATATTTTGTTGTTGTTGTTTGTTTGCTTGTTTTTTGAGACATAGTCTCTCTGTGTCACCCAGGCTGGAGTGCAATGGCGTGGTCTCGACTCACTGCAACCTCTGCCTCCCAGGTTCACACCATTCTCCTGCCTCAGCCTCCTGAGTAGCTGGGACTACAGGTGCCCGCCACCATGCCTGGCTAATTTTTTTGTATTTTTAGTAGAGACGGGGTTTCACCGTGTTAGCCAGGATGGTCTCAATCTTCTGACCTCGTGATCTGCCTGCCTTAGCCTCCCAAAATGCTGGGATTACAGGCATGAGCCACTGCACCCGGCCGAAATATACATCTTAAAATATATATTTTAAATAATATATTTTAAATCTCTCTCTCTCTCTCTCTCTCTCTCTTTCTCTCTCTCTCTCTCTCTCTCTCTATATATATATATATATATACACCTATTTAACAAACCTGCACATTCTGCACATGTACCTTAGAACTTAAAGTATAATTTTATATATATGTGTATATATACATACATACATATATACATGTATATATATTACATATCTGTCCTCATTAGTTGGAATACAGCAGGCTTTACTAGTGTCTCTGAAGTAAGGAGGAACCAGGAAGTGAGCTGTTTTGTAATGGAGACCAGTTATATCTAATAGAGAGAATCAGTGTCTATAAGACTGTAGCCTATTGGATGGGAAGCTATCTTATGCAAACATGATGAATCTTTTCTCTCTCTCTCTCTCTATATATATATATATATTTCTATCTCTATATTTCTATCTCTCTCTCTATATATCTATATATATATGCATATATATATGCATATATATATAGATATATAGAGAGAGAGATAGAGAGATAAAATGAGAAATTACATTCCTAGCAACTATTTTAGCTCATTAAGACCTATGTGAATAAATCATTGATATTTTTACATGAAAGAGACCATACCATAACTTTACTTCACTAGATATTAGGCCAAGTAGCCACTCTTGAAAAAAGAGCAGGCAGGCAACAAAGAGACCAGTATTGCTTACTATTGCAGTAATACAGTCATGAGATTATGAGGGCCTATACTTTAGCTGCCAATTAGGAGGACATATTTTAGAGGAGTGAAAAAAGAAACAATAGTTTGAGTGTCTGATTATAGAAGATAAATATTTTTCCCAGCAGATAATTCCTTTATCTTTGCTAGGCAAGATATCAAGGTCTGTTAATGAATAAGATTAACTAGCATAAGAGACTTGAGTATAATGACAAAGTTTCTTTTATACCTATTGACTGAAAATGAATTATGGATTTAGCAATTAAGTGTTTGTTGGTAACTTTCAAGATCATTCAGAAATCAAACTGCAGTTTATAAAGCCCAGAGTTAAGTGATTTTAACAATTTGATACTTGCTGATTGACCTTCTACCAGGTTTTAGATACCATTAACATATAGAGTAAAAGAGATAATCCTTGCCCTCAATAAACTTATAGATCATAAGGAAGAGATACAGACACATAAATGGTGCAATACGTCATATAAAACATTACACAATGGTGAAAATGTAGGAAAGAGTAGAGAGCACAAAGTCAGTCTGCAATGGCTTCACAGACTATGGCCAAACCATCTCTAAAAGGAGAAATACAAATTCATCTCTAGAATAAGGGGTGGAAGGGAGTTTATTTCCGAAAGTGTGATAGTAGGTTCACAGAACACATAGGTTTATGTAAAAGAGCATGGTGTGTTTTCTTGAAGATGAAGTTTAAAATGAGGAGTGATGTGATCAAATATCAAACATGTAATTGGAATCTGCTTATCATAGGTATGCAAGAGATAGAACAATGAGAACAGTTGGACACAGGAAGGGGAACATCAAACACCGGGGCCTGTCGTGGGGTGGGGGGAGCGGGGAGGGAATAGCATTAGAAGATATACCTAATGTAAATGATGAGTTAATGGGTGCAGCACACCAACATGGCACATGTATACATATGTAACAAACCTGCACGTTGTGCACATGTACCCTAGAACTTAAAGTATAATTAAAAATATATATATATAAAAATAAAAAAAGACAAATGTCTCTACCCTTAAGTAGTTTATAGTTATAAGTGAAGAAAACCTTACATGAAAAAGTAATGAAGAAAGTGATAGTACAACAAGCAGTATAGTAGAAGACTACTGTCTTCTAAATTTCCAAAATTATTTAGATAACTGCAGAAAACCAACAAGTATTTCTCAATCTTAACAAACCTCACTCATCAAGACTTTAATCCCAAAATGATCCTTTGATTTAGACATGGAGAAAGCTTCGTAGAGTTTATACAAATTGTTAGAATTTGACATCTTCAGTTTATTTCTCATTAGGCATTGCACAATCTTCAAGAACAGAAACTTAGAAACGTTGTTATATCTTTGGAAGATATTTAGCAATTTATATATTACATTTGAAAAGAATGGGATCTCGATGAGGTAAGATACTTTTAGTTTAAAAAGCATCTTTTTTTTTTCCAAAAACACTTAGCTAAAGGACACTATTGTCCATTACGTTTGCAAAAGAGATATTTCAGAACCACGTTCAAATATAGGAAAGAAGAAATCTTTTTTAAAGAATGTAGAATAAGCATTTATAAGGAATAAATGTTCAAATTGATCTGCAGTAAAGTTAAAGTGATATTAGTTTTGCATCAGTCATCTATATTAATGTTGAAAAATCAAAGAGAAAATAGGAGATTTTGTTATTGTTGCTTAAGCAACCATAAGCATTCTGGTTATTTAAGTCACTGTTTCTTGTACATACTTTCTGAGAGTAACTTGAAAGTTTTTACAAGGTGCATAAGTGATCATTTAAATGTATTCAAGTAATAATCATGTAGATGATAACCTCATGGCCTGGAAGAGATTATGGCAACCTTGTGTATGCTTCAGGACATTTGTGATCATGGCAAGGTATCATTAGTGTCCTGGACATTTAAAATATGCAGTGTATATCCTAAAGATTCACATTGGAAGCTTTCTGGGCATTGATTATGTTATGGCTTTAGGACACTCAGAAAAGATTTTAATTAAATAAATGCTAATGAAGATTGAGAGAAAATAGCTCATAATTTAAGCTAGTGCACTCCCTTATAGTTATCAAGAAACTGTTTCTTGCATCTAGCTCCCTGTGTTATATTTTTGTGTAGGCCATGAAGATAGATGAACAGTGATATTTCTGGGATGCTGCTGCTCATAAGGCACTATACGCAAGCTGGAGAAAATCTGGCAGAGTGCAGAATCGACTATGTCTAATTCTGTTTCATGTATATAGATATCTCATAATTCAAAGGTTCTACAGGCAACCCCGCAGATAGACAGTAAACTCTTGCCTTTTGTCTAGTTGGCCTTGGTCTATGTTCCCTCTTTATCTTTTGTCTTCATCTCTCTTTTTGCTCCTAATACTGCTTTGGCTTCCTGGTGCATCTGCTCATGTGGTATCTGCCTAGTTTCCCTCAGTTTTATGGTTTTACTCCTTTGTATTATGACAGCTTAATATTTCTATATATGTATCTATGTATGTATTAATTTATTTTTGAGACCAAAATAACTTTGCTTTCATCCAGTTAACAAAGGAGCTTTAGATATTATAGAAGTTTTTCACATTCCCTTTTATAGTAAAGAAAGAAATATTGCCATGAAACAGAAGACAAACAACAGGGGACATTTAAATGTTTGGGAAAAATATGGGGGTAATAATTCAAATATAAATACAGGCTTAAAACTTACTTTTATTAACCTCACTTTGCCCTTGGCATCTTGTACTTTGAACTGGGGCCTGTCCAGCATCTTTCTCATTTCCCACTCCAGCGTTACAGACCAAAATACCATTCTGTAAATGATTTCTGCCTACCAATTGATAATACGAAACTTTATTCTCTCACACTTACTTTTCCCACTGTGTGTGTGTTTATAAACATTCTGAAGAAATGAAGATCATTAAAATGAACTGTATGCCATGAGTAGTTATTTTCTAAGCCAAGTATTTATGGGGGCTGTATAATGTTCTAATGTTTAAAATACAGTATGATAGCAGTAAAATCAATAATTGAGTTGAGTGGGATTAATCCCCCAAAGTCTTTAAAAAAATGTTATAATTGATAAGAATGTCAACCAAAGATAGAAACACTTGTAGAATGCTTGGAAGTCTCCTAGAATATAAGGTCATTAATAGAAAATGAACTGAATATTTGTTGTGTATTTGAATCCAGGTAATAAACATTTATTTTCAGGAACTTTATATCCATAAATCACATCTTCCTATAACCATGAAATGCTCTTCTAGTGTTTTCAGTTTCTCACCTGCTCCTCTTTCCCTCATGATATTACATTTTTTGCACATTTAAGCCATGACCAGTGATGACCAATAACAATCTCTGTCGGTCGTTCTTCAGGCATCTGGCATCTAGCTTTTGGAATAAAAATGCCAGGATTCCCCCACTGAATTTCTTTTAAAGTTCACATTCTTCTTTTACCTAAAGGGCAATGTAGAGAAAAATAGTGTAAGATTTCAAGATAAAAGTGAAAGCTGAAGGAATTTCAACAGAGAAGATTCTCATAACCATCTTAGCCACCTTGTTGTATGTATATAAAAAGTTTAGAAAGTTTACAGAAACAAATTTAATTACATTTCAAATTCTTTTTAGTATCTGAAAGAATATTCTCATATATTATTCTGTACTCGTATTTTAATCAGAGTAGTTTTCAGTCAACAATCCACTGATCCTCTTTTCTCTTCCTGTAAGGAAACACTTCCCCATCTTGCCAACTCTACCTTGTATTGGCAAGTGTTGTTTCTAAATCAGATTCTTTTTGAATGCACTAAGCAACCATTTTCATACTAAGTTGCCATTTAGCTTTGCTTTTATGCCTTATGTCTTGTATGGAAGCTATTAAAATTTAGTTGACTTCATAAGAAATATATGCCCATACTGATACAAATAAATGAATAATAAACAGGAAAGAAGAGACACATTTCCCAAGCAGAAGAATCCCAAATAATTTATGTGGCTACTCCTATCTCAAAGAAAAGGGGCACTTGACATCAGCCATGTAATCAATGTGGACATTAGTAGTAATAAATCATGTTGATAGTATGGACACTTAATATGATAATGTGATGTGATGAAAATGGCACATCTCTTATGTGGTCTTCCTTCTAATAACCCATAACTCCAGTCCTGTCATGAGAAAAATACCAGATTAATACCAAAATGAAACATCCTACAAAACAGCTAACCAGTACTCCTCAAAACTGACAAGGTTATAAAAAAATAAGGAATGTGTGGGAAACTGCCACATCCAAGAGGAGCATAAAGAGATATTCCAGCTAAATGGAGTATGGTAGCCTGGTTGGAATTCTGGCACAGAAAAAAGACATTAAGTAAAAGCTATGGAGACCAAAATAAACTGTGAACTTTAGTTAACAATAATGTGTCAATATTGGTTCATCAATTATAACAAATGTATTATACTGATATAAGATGTTAATAATAGCAGAAACTGACTATAGGATATATGGGATTTTTCTACTGTCCTCTTGATTTTTCTATAAATCTAAACTAAATATTTAGTTGCTGATGTACTGTTATATTTGGACTGCAGTGCCATTATACCATCCTTTTTTTTTACTGTATTCTTACAAGAAACTGGCATTGCTGGCAATAATTCACTTAATCTCTCCACACATATATACACATACCTCAAAAATCAGAATTATTGTACTTATCATAGAATTGTGAATAAATTTAATCAGTTCAAAATGATATTTAACAACATTAGTCCAGTGTTCCTGGAAGCAAGCATTCACTTCTTCCCACATGGCCAAATCTTTGTTCATTTTCTCTAGATGGCTAGAGAAACTATCTCTTCCATTGATTCCTAACACCAAGCACATGTTACAGTTGACCCCAGGTAGATGAATACTCTAATTTCTCCCCTAGGTCACTCTGATGACTTAAAAAACAAACAAACAAACAAAAAAAACACTCATCTAAGGAAAAAAATAAGACTCTGAGACCTAAGATTGTTTTCTAAGCCAGTTCAAAGGTGAAGTTCTGGGTGTTGAAGGCTCCAGGGAGAGAAATGGAGTATATTTTTGGAAACTGGAAATTAAAATCACAAAGTATATTGATGGCCCATAGGCTAACAGGTCAAACAGTGTGGGTTTTCCAGTAAAGGGTCTTTGCTGAATATGTTAGTTGCCCCACTCAGGATGACGGTGCCCCTGTTGTCATTTTTAGTAAGTCACGTGTGCCCCACTGTCAGCTGGCTAGCAGCTCATGTCAGATTTCAGCATCTGGGTGCCAGCCAGTCTCTATTGTTCTGAATTTTTGGCGCATACAGGAAGCACTCATTGTCATTTCATGAGGAGGAGTGCAGTTTTTATCCTTTCTCTGGTTTTCAGCTCTTTTCTGCTTTATAGCATACCTATGCCTTTCTAATTTCTTTAGTTTTCCCTCCGTTTTTCAGTGAGGGTCCTAGTCTGCCTGGAGAGTCAGGTACCTGATTCTCTTCTCAGGATACCTTCTCAGGTATCTGGTTCCCTCTCTGTGGGACTTCTGAACAAACTTCCGTCTGTGGCAAATCACTGACTTCTGAAAATCACAGTTATTTGACCTAATGCTTAAAAGTGAATGAGGAACTTTTCCCTTTTCAAAAATGCTTCCTTCGCCCCAAACCCCCATAAAAATTATTTGTGTGAAAGTAAAGCTGCAGAAAATGTTCCTGTCCACTTATTATAAAATTTTCATCTGGATAGGTACATAGGATAAAGGAGATACAAATTACAGCAAGATAGGCTAGGGAAGAGAAAGCAAATCCCTAATTTTTTTCTTAATGGAGACTTAGACTCTATACTTTTTGTTAAAGGGAAAGACAGTAGTTGTAAGTTTTATGGTCCAGGCAGCCTTGACATTTCCTTTTCCGGAGCATGATTTTATCTGAATATAGTTAAGAATGTAATAGGAAGAAGGTTTCAATTCACTAGGACCTAGTATGGCAAGGAAAACACAGAGTTATTGAGACAAATGTTAAATATGGCCCCTGGGTTTATTAAAAGGCTTTGATTTCCTTGGTGGCCTCTGCTTCAGAGCAAGCTCTAGCATTCTAAAGTAGAATTCATCTGGGTGAATATGTCCATATTAGAAGGACAAGTTAAACAGAATAACATCTCTAATAATACTAAATTATTAAAGCAATAAAATAATGGGAATTAAGGGCTCCACAAAGCATTATAGAATGATATGTTTCTTCAGATTCTGCACTCTTTTATTATAGCATGTAAATTATTATTCTGTTTTAAAATAAGTTATGAATTTCAAAATAATACATTAACAGTATGGTTTTGCCACCTAACAGCATTCTCATTTATTTATGTAACAAATAAAAATGCAAGACCCTCATAAACATAATTAAATATCAAATTTTCTAGGATATGTGCACGCAGATTCAGTTATGTCCAAAATAATGAAACATTATAATTTTTATGTATTCACTTTTGACTCTCTGTTTTCTTTGTTCTTTTACTAATTACAATTCAAAATATTATTTCATTGATTTGAACTTCATTAGTTTAAACTTAACAAATGTGAGTCTGAAATTATCCCCCCCCCAAAAAAATTAATGCATTAACACAAACTTTAGGCCACAATTTTTGTCCAAAGGGAAAAGTTTCCAGCAGAATAAAATAATTAAATATATATTTATTGCTATTTTAAGAAAACAGTGTTTTTTTGGAAGTATATCAAGGGAACCCAGGGAAATGAAAAATATTTGTTACTTATAAATGGTATAATTAAAAATATTTTTCTTCCAATTTTTTTTGCTCACTAATATAAATATATGTGATTATCATAGTTATTTTACATTTTCTTAGCAAATAATGCTACACATAACCAAAGGTAGTATTTCAAAATGCTACAGTCTTACTCAATAGAGTTCCATGTTTCCAACCCAGAGTTCTTATCTTTCTATTTATGCTCTGTTAATCACTAGTAATTACTGCACTTTCTTTTCCTATGTTATTATTGGTAGAATAAATTTCTGTGCATTTAAAAAGGCCAAGTACAAGTGACATTTTATATTAAAGAGCATTCTTCCTGAAGGTACAATGCATGATTTCAACAAATTATACTGTAGTAAATATTTTTAAGTTGTTTTATCTTAATCCAGTCCTAGAAATATGTGTTTATTGTTTTCTGAAAGCAAAGAGACCATTACTGGAAAACAAAAATTGTCTACATGGTCTTAGTAGCTAACAATGTATAGCCCTGCAAATTGCAGAAGTTCAGTTTGGTAGTGGCATCTTCATTTAATATTGTTGCAATAGCCAGTCAACCATTAAATAAAAGTTCCTGAAATCCTGGTATCTCCTCTTATTCTTTTATTTTTAATTAAAGCTGCAGAGAGTCATTGACTGAAATGTCTTCTATCCTCGTTGCTTTTTTAAAAAAATTTACCTCAGTCTTTTATACTCCTCCTTAATCATGAATGCAAATAAAATTCAAAGTGTAATCAGCAGCTGCTGAAAGAGAGCACTGAGCAAACTGGGTTGCCGTGGAAACCATGAAGTCAGTCCTTGACCAGACAAAGAATAATACCTGGTGTGTGTGTGTGTGTGTGTGTGTGTGTGTGTGTGTGTGTGTGTGGTGTATGTGTGTGCACATGCTTACCAACAATTTGCAAAGAACAACTAAAAATGTTTCAAGGTTTATTTTCCCCAAACTAAATTGTTCATTTTTAGATATTTACATTACAGATGAATGAATACATTCGACTATTAAATTTGTAAGCAATTGCCTCTCATTTGAGACTGGATAGTCCTGTCCTAGATGAAGCTACAGGTATGACAAAAGTACTATCAAATTGAACTGAGCACAATAAATATTGAAAGCCTTCCACTGCAAACAAATAAATAATTAACACAATTATTTGGTCTATTATAGCTGTCATTATCCTTGCTTTCACTTCTCCAACAGGCGTTGCAGCATTTTAATTGTATTTTCTCCTGGGAAAGAATTATCTCCTGCTTTAAGCTGCTGGGGGAAAGTATTGTTAAGCTTTTTAAATGCTGAATATAAAGGTCATACCACTGAGGGATTTTCAGCTGTGAGTAAACAAATTCAGAGGAAATAGTGCTCCACATCACTCTTATTCAACACAAATGTAGTTTTAGACTGACTGCCTCAATGTTTGAGGATCTTAATTTGGCATGTGTAATGACCATTGCTAGTAATAGTATGATCGGAGCCCAAAATTATTAAAACTCATTAATAGGCACATATAAAAATAAGGAATCGTTCAATTCTGCAGCTGTAGTTTTATTCTACATTGTAAATACCTTGGGGGAGAAACGCATTACTGATTAAGAAGAAATAAAAGCAGTTGCTTTTGCTGGTAGAGACTCTGAATTTAAGTTTGGGACATATGGACAGATCATATACCAAATGCCAAAGCACTGAAAAAGTGTTTCATCTTTCCCTCTGTCCCCCTTTGCCAAGAGGCAAAGATGGTAGCATTCTTTTTGCACATGTCACCTCAGACCTAGACAATGGCTCTTTTTTTGTTTCCTTTTTATCAGATGCTCTCTTCATCAAGTGTGCAAGATAGGTCATTGTGATTCCCTCAACTTTACAGCTGAGAAAAAACATAAGCATTGAAAAGTTCGGTAACTTGTCTGAGATCGCTGAAGAAGCTATTGATGGGGAAGAATTTAGAATTTAATTCTGAAAGGAGTATCTTTCCATGGTTTTACATTTTTCCTGACTTAATGAATCTGGAATTATGTGGGGTTGGGAAGAAGATCACTAATTGATTGAAGTTAGCATATAGAAATACTATTCTTACTGAGCTGTAACCTGAAATGTTTCGTTAAAACTGTACATGCTGCCACAACTAACAAAGAGCAAGAGAGAATGTGGTCAGCAATTTCTTTGCCTTTTTTTCCCGAGTTTTCTTTTGCTTGTTTGTCCAGTTTTTTTTTCTATCTCATTATTTTGTAGGTAGTGTTTTTGCTTTCATATCTGTACTTTATTGTTATATCAGTCACTTTCCCTGATCTGTCTTGAACAATCATTGCAAATTCATTTTGTTCTAATTTGCTTTACTTGGCAATTACGTTAAAAATGGCAAAGTATTATTTTTGTCAGTCTAGAATATAATCAACTTATTTTATCTGAGTTTTTAAACAGATTATGAATATTTCTGGAGCTTTATTGTTTATATCACAAGTCAATTTCTTTGGACTTACATCATTATAATAAAATATAAAAATAGTTAAAAACATGAAAAATTACTGTGATGATGGAACTTATATCAGATTGGCCAAGTTTCTCATCTAAGTACACTTCTACTGTATTCATCACTATCTGCTTCATGGAGAGGGCAGCTGTTTGTAGCACACTTACGCAACTTTAATTGATAGGCAGTCATGTATCACTTAATGATGGGATATGTTCTGAGACGTGCATCTTTAGGTGATTTTGTAGTTGTAGGAACAGTATAAAGTCTATTTACACAAACCTACGTGGTATAGCCCATTATTGCCAGGGTTATATGGTGGAGACTATTATTCCTAGGCTAAAAACCTATACAGCACATTACTGTGCTGAATACTGAATAATGTAGGCAATTGTAACACAATGATAAGCACTTGTGTATCTAAACATATCTATATGTAGAAAAGTAAAATACAGTAAAAATACAGTATTACAATGTTACGGGTCAACCACTATCAGAAATGTCACTGGTTGAGATGTTAGTGGCATGACTGTATATGGCAATATACAATGACAATTCTTTTAATATTTAAGTTACTATGATTCTGAGCCTGATTCTCTGAATTTTAAAAAGTTTACTCTTCTCCTTGGCAGCCCTCATCAGATACTCCAGAGGAACTCCAAGGCAGTTTCTTCATTCCAAAGGGATTAGTCTCAGTTTCTATTCTGGAGTGTCCCATCAGTCATCCTAAGCGTTTTATTCTTAATTTTGCAGTTAATCAGTGCTGCATAGGGCCACACAAAATTTAGGGCTGTCTTAGCAGTGTGGCAAAGAAGTTTATTTACCTTTACTGTTTCCACTGTCCTAGCAGTGTCTCACATATGTCAGAGGATATAGCATCAGGTACCATCGGTGGAAGAAATGTACTCCCCTACCAAATTTTTATAGGTAGTGGCACACTCGCCTCCCACTCTACTATTACTGAAGCAAGTTCTACAGCAATAAGCAATCACAGTAGTCAATATCAATGGTTCTTAAAGCGTTGTCCCAGAGCAGCAGCATCACCTGGAGATTTGTCGAAACTATTAATACCGGGCACCTTCCCAGATATGTTATGTGAGAAACACTAGTGGTCAACACCAAGAATATGTGTATTACTGAGCCCTTTAGATGATTCTGATGCATGCCAAAGTTTGGGAATGATTTGTCTATGTTGCATTTTTTGAAGTCTTGTTTTGTGATTATTCATAATAAGTGTGTATGTGTATGCATGTGAATTTAAGTGTGTGTTCTCGTGTGCACATGTTGGTGTTCGTAGGCTGTGGTCACCAACAGTTCTGTCTAGTTTTTTCTGGATACCTACCTTTTCTCTCCTTCGAAGGCACAGACTTATCAAAGTCTCATTGAATACTGAAGGGAATAAATGAAGACTTAGCTTCCCACTGTGCACTGGCATGCATTTTAAAGAAAAGGTTACTTTTTCTTAGAAAAATTGGTGTTAAGAGTCATATTTGCATAGCTAAAGAGAACCTCAAGGTGACTTAACCAAAACAAAGATAATGATGACTTGACCTCAAATAACGAAATGCCAGCAATTTAATCTGCTATAGCACATTAACTTAATGTGAGTTAGAGAGCTATAGCTGTATAAAAAGGAGTAGAGGAGACTGGATAATACTGGGAAAGGAGCAAAGTCATGGATGCTTACACAACAAACACATGGATGCTTACCAAGATCAATTAACAATATGTTATATTCCTTTTTTGTGCCACACTCTGCCCATGTGGATTTCTTTTTGAAGTTTTGCATCTCAATCTATTCAAAATATCTCATAACTCTTCACTGCCAGATAATTCCACAATTTCATCCTGCAGTATAGGACCTAATTGCTACTACTGTCCAACAGACCCCCAAGGCAGTGTTAGCCATATATTAAAAGCATTTTTTGTTTGTTTTATGTTATACAGAATAAATTTTTATTAATGGCCTCAAATTGTTACCTGAAAGAGGCAGATGGCAAACTAAACCATTTTTTCAAAATTCCTCATAGAAATGCTAAATGAAACAAACAAGCAAAGTATGGATTTTTATTAAAACTATGAAAAAAATTTTAATAACTGAATTATAGCATTCGCAAAAATTAAGATATGTTAAAACAATGGAAATTTGAACTTATTTGTAATTTTATTTTATAGAACTTTTGGTAGTATTTTTATATTATTGTAATATTGTTTAAAGAAAAAAAAAACTAGCACAGTAGGAAATAAGTTTAAGGGATTATTTTGCCAGTCTTTCTCTGTTAGATTGAATAATAAACTTGCCATTCAGGAAAGTCATTGTATATTTGTATACCATTTGTGTCCAGCCTGGTTTATATTTGCTGATTTGTTGACAAATTTGGAGCATGTGGTAAACTTTTCTATCCCAAGACAAGGACTGCACACTTCAATTTAAATCTCAGATTCAAATAAGTGGCACTCTTTATATTTAAATGTAAGCACATGCTATACCAGTTTTATAATGTTACCACCTCTTCCCTGCTTTGGTAGAGTCTCTTCAATATTAGCTGATTTTATCCATTGTTAAGATGGTGTTTTCAAAGAAGATAAAAATGCATTTTGAATATGGAAATATAATTTTTCACATTCCTTTGAAATCTGGAAGAGAAATGTAGTAAGGAATCAAGTTGATTGAAAAAAAATCAAAAGAAAATAACAAGTTTAAAAATCCAGGATCATAAGAAGAAAAAAGACATTTAATCTTACAACTAGATATTTTAAAAATAGATAAAACAATGCCTTATTTTCACCTTCATTCTATCATTTTCAGCCTTTTTTACACACATGGGGACAAGTACTATGTCACTGACTATTATCTAATATTGTGATAATTTTTCTTATCACAATGCCAAGTTATCATCCACATAGTGAAAAACAGATATAACCTTCTTATGGTTTGATATGTTAATGAGTTTTAATATATACTTTAATCCTTTATTTACATGTAAGATGGTAAAGATGCAGTTTCATAGTATCTTTTGTTCCTCTTTTTCAATTATTTCTGCAAAGTAAAGTGTAGGTTTTTTGAACTATACCCAGAAGAGTAGGCTGGAATCATGAGACCTTACTGCACAAAGTTCCACCCCTCTCTCTGTGGTCTAGCAGTGATGAGGTTGCTAGGTTGACAAAGCAGTGCTGGGTTTTCCACACTATTATGTTTCATTCATAGGTTCTTCACTTGCCCACAGAGGTTAAAAACTAACTTTAAAAATGATAATAGATATACCTAATGCTAGATGACGAGTTACTGGGTGCAGTGCACCAGCATGGCACATGTATACATATGTAACTAACCTGCACATTGTGCACATGTACCCTAAAACTTAAAGTATAATTAAACAACAACAACAACAACAAAAACATATAAAAAATGATAATAAATTGGATAGCCTACCAAATCAAAACTTAGTATTTCTTGTAAGTTTTTTCCTCATGAAGAAAAATATAATACATTTGACTTAAAACAACCTGAAAGCCTTGAATAATTCACTCTAAATTCCAAATTATTTTATTGAACAAATTGATTTCTACTGTTATATTTGTCTCTGGAAGTAAAAAAACAAAAAGCATAAAGTGTGTTCTTTTGGGTAGCATGATCTTAGGACTTTTATATTTAATTTGCTTACAAATACAAGAATATGTATCCGCTGAAATTTCTTGCTACTATTTAGCTACAGTCTGTCCTTGTAACTCATTTACAAACTAAACTCCTTTCCAATAGTATTATGAAAGAACCCCCTTTATGCTCCCCTCATCTCCAAAAGTCACCTTTTGAATTCACACTCTTAGTTTACGACATGCTGCTTTTCTGAATTCTTTGCTGCCTTAATGATGCCATCATCTTCTGAACTCATTAAGGTCCCACATAGGTTTCTGTGTGTTGCAGTGACATCTTTATCTCTTAGAGCAGTTTGGAAACCTGCAGGGGTGTAGAATTGCTACATATGGACTGTTATGCAAACTGAGTATATCAAGCCTCACCCAAACTGAAAAGGAAAAGTATTTTGAAACATAAAAGAAACATATGTTCGAGTTATAGATGTTGTTTAATGGAGGTCAGATCTGCACATTGATTGTTTTCTATCAGCAGCTTAGAGGTAGCTGACCATGGGGATTTATTTATGAGCTTAAGAGGTCTGGAGGAAGAACCACACTGATCATTCACTTGATTATAAAGCTCCTGTTCTCAAAGGAAATAATAGTGATCAGAATCAGCCACTGCGTGATTGAAGTAGGAATATAAATGAAGGAACATGGATTTCACTTTAATGCTGCATAGACTAGAAAAAAAAATAAATGAAAGAGTAGCATATCTGAAGATTCCACTAAGCCTGAAACAAGGTCTTCTAATGCAATAATCTGAACTTTCTAAGTAAACAATGAGGAGAACCCAGATTCTACCACCCTCAATTTCTAACTACCCTTTTTCAATTATAATTACCTTTTTTATTTCTAACTTATTGTTCATTAATAAGAGTATTAATTTCCAGTTATATTCGTGCATGATAAATATATGTTTCTCATTGATTTCAAACTATTGGGTAAATTACTTTTCTAAGGCCAAATACAGTGACAGTGAAGAAAGCACAGAATTTCTTGCCCTCAAGTTTCTCACCTATTGCTTAGCTACTGAATCTTGCTGTGTTTGCAATAGTTTTAATTCATGCATTCTACAGGTAAGATAATTAGAATCAGGTCATTCCTTTCTTTTAAATTTTGCCAGATTAAACACAAGTATCTGCCACGAGGATCATTATAATAGAAAATTGTTCTGAGTTTAATATTCTGGACAGAATTTTATAAATCCGAAGTAAAAATGTTTTTCAATTTTATAAAATATTGGTAATGAGAATAAGCATGCAAATAAAAACAAGAAGGAATTAAAGGACATACAGCTCTATATAATTGAAGAGAAACTTGCGAAGAGACCAAAAGAAACTGGAAAAGTGACTGAAGTGTGTGAGTGTGTATGTGTGTCTGTGTGTGTGTGTGTGTGTGTGTGTTAGAAAGACAGAGATTTCTTAGACATCTTAGTATATTTGGTCAATGTCAATTACGACTTCCCAATATAGAAATGGGATTACTTATGCTTGACAGGTACATATTTCAGTGTCCCTGTTTCAGTTAGTAAAGCTTTTAACAAAAAGAAACATAATGTGACCTACAGTCACATAAAATGTAAGAGCATGTATTATTTAGAAGAAAAAGTCGAGAGACACTTGGTTCCAGAATTCTTTGAATTTTTTGTTGTTGTTGTTCATTCCCTGATGGTCACAAAATGGCTGCAGCAGCATCATAACTCACATGCTAACATGACTATGTTTCAAAGCAAGAAGAAGATGAGGGTGGCCAGGAAAAATAAAAAAGACATAAAGTAAAACATCTCTACGTATGCGTTATTGATTTTATCAGGACTGCTAACCTTGAGGAGGGCTTCCTTAAGTCTCATTGACTACAACTGTGTCAATGAACTCCCCTAGCCTCAAACTAGTCTGGGAAGAAGAGTATTTGTTTATTTTAGCCTCAGAAGTGGGAAACGGGCAAGGGAAAAGAATGGAAGGGGAAAACATTATAATATTCAATGAACAGCACCCGCCAGAATTCTTATCTGCATTTAATATTAAGTTTATATTTCAGGTATGCAGTGAGCTCAGGTAGGATTGCTAGGCAATTCCGTCAAAGTTTCATTTCTTGTCAAGATGAGTGTGTTCAAAGATGATTTTTACTCAATTCGTCATTCCCCTCCATTTTTAGGAAGTAAAATGACATTAAAAGTTGATGCAAATAGTCATGCTGTAAAATTCAGACTTTACTGACTTTTTTTCATTGTATATGTTATACCTTCAGTTTTATTCTTCAATTTTCCCCAAAATAAAGAAGGATGTTAGTGTGCTTCAGTGAATCTTGTGCATTGAATTGCCAGATTCAGTGAAGTTTACTTAAAACCCTGTGTGGATTATTAAAATTTAATAATATGAATAACTGGAATAATAAACTAACAACAAAAGCTAGATTTAACTTCATCTTTTCTCAAGCACTCTTAATACAGTGTGCATTAATTTAAAGAATCTTCAAGAAGCCAATTTTTCTGAATATTTGCTGACCAGTATGAATAAATTACTAGGGGTCATAGCTATACTTTACAGTAAAGTGACTATATTTATTAAACTTTGCTCAGCAATTGCTTTTATGAGAAATTTTAAATATTTTTCTATTTTTTCACTATTTTCCTACTCATTCACTTTAGAATTGGGAATGTCTATATTCATCACCATTTGTTTTTATTTGGACTTAGTTCAACTACTAAGAGGCAATGAGTTTGCCAAAGAAATCGTGGCTTTTTTTTAGTTGTCCTTCCACACCATTGAAATTGGTAATCAGTAAGCTCTCTGCTATGTGTGCCGTTATTGCTTAAATCACTGTTTAAGGTAGAATACTTGTTCTACTTCAGGAAATAGAAAAGTTCTCCAAACTCTCAATTTTTAAGTTGAACTAACTTTTCTTCCTATTACATACTGAATTTTCTTAAGGCATCATATATGTACATTTTTAATGTTTAAAAATATTTTTAAGTTATATAATTCTAAAATTATTTTAAATATCCTAATTAAAAGTATCTTTCATTTGGCTCATTCCAAATAAATGCTTTTCTTTACCCAGTAAATTTAATGCAATTTCAGTATATTAAAATAACTGCATTATAAAAGAAATTGTTACTACTTGGTTGCCTTTGTATCAGAATGCTAGTAATACTTCAGCAAAACAGGTGTGTATTCAATCTGTTCTGACGCTGTATAACCATTTGCATTGCACTTGATCACATAGTAGAAAGAAGCCACCTTGCAAAATTTCACCAAAAAGTAAATTCTATCTCTAGAAACACCAGGAGCTCTTAGTAATTTGAGCTTGCTGAGGGGCAAGTATGTATAATGTAAATGTATCAATCAGGTTAATGCAAGGAGCACTCTTCCATTTGATAACATTTGAAATGCATGGCAGAAATACAGAAACATAATTAAGGCAAATGAGTATAAAATGTTAATATTCCAATCTGGAAGAGAAAAAGGTTTCAAGATTTCTCCAACTTTTATTGAAGTCTGAAATGAGAAATTCAAATTATTTGGACAAATGAGTTGTTTCATTTCAGACAAAGGGAGAGTTCCTAAATTCAACATGACTGACATTTTGGACTGGATGCTTCTTTGTTGTGTGGGCATCCTATGCATTGTAAGATGTTTGACAGCAATTCCATCATGCTCACTAGTGGCCAGTAACATGCTTCTCAGTCCTGATGCATTAAAAAATGTATGCAGATATTGTCAAGTGTCACCTGGGGGAGCAAAATTGCTCCTAGTTAAGAGCCACTGGACTAATTGTTGAATCAAATTATTTTCAATTTTATGATGATTGATTTGGACACTTTATGTATTGTTATGAAATATGTTAACAGTACTATGTTTTTCATTCTATGGATATGCCAAATATTAGTTTAACGTTTTTCTGTTAAGAAAGACATTCTAATTAAACATATGTTCTATGCCATATACAAAGATAAATGAAACATAATTCTATTACTCAAAAAGCTTTAAACTTTCCTCACTGTATTTTCCAAATACAGTGATCTTTAAAAAAAAAAAAGTATTCTGAGAAGTATGTTTTTAAACTATCACCTTATTACTGGATAAAACAAGGTCATTAAATATATAATCCTGATACCAATTATATTGATAGTTTCTTTTTCAAATTATCTAGACCACTATCATCTTTACTATTTTTTACCTGAGTTCATTGTGCCCACAGACTATTTTTTTTAATGTACTCCTTTCTCAGAGATTTTTTTTGTCTGCTTATAGTTTAAATTAAGATCAACAAAAAGTTTATGTTTAGTCAAAGCTCAGCTAGATATTTTCATGGAGAGAGTTTGCTTTGGCATGAAATGCTGTCGTTTACTGGAAAACCTCCCTGCGTGTGTAATTTGACAGCATTTTAGACTCCCCAGTTAATGAGGTTAGCAGCAGCCTCTATCCTCTGGGTCTAGTCAAACTGAAGCTGTCTCAATGTAGATTGTCATAGCTATGTTGATTCATTTGCTTTTTTGGAAAAATAAAAAATTGGACTTTTCAAATGGTAAGGAAATATTCTCCTCCGGGTCCTCCCACATGTGCAGATAGTAGGTTTCTGACTGCCTGCTATATTCTGATAAAGTATTTGTGTTTCCATGGAAGGAAATGCTAATTAGTATTTCCTTGTCAATTTTCTAGATATTTGGAATGATATGTTTTTCCAAAAGTCACATATTTTAAATGCTAGTATCAGCTTCTGTAGGAAAACATAATTATATAATGAAATGGAATAGCATTTATGTTAACTTGATGATAATTGTAATTTCACGGGGCCATAAGTGCTCATAGAAATAGCCAAAGAAGGCAGGAAGGATTAGATCATTCTTAATTCTACAATATGTGACTTTTCAACACATATATTTTTACTTTTGCTAACTTTTTTCCTAATGACTTTGTTTTAGTTTGTTTTTCAAAAATAAATTTACAAAATTTTGCAGAAGCCAATTTGGCTAGTTAATTTAAATGCAAGTTTGAAAGTATGTTATGCAACAGGTGAAATAAAATGCTATTAAAGGCTGGGTGTGGTGGCTCCCACCTATAATCCCATTACTCTGGGAGGCCAAGGCAGGTGGATCACCTGAGGTCAGGAGTTCGAGACCAGACTGGCCAAAATGGTGAAACCCCACTTCACTTAGAAATATAAAAATCAGCCAGACGTGGTGGCATGTGCCTGTAATCCCAGCTACTCAGGAGGCTGAGGCAGGAGAATTGCTTGACCCTGAGAGGCGGACGTTGCAGTGAGCCAAAATTGCACCACTGCACTCCAACCAGGGCAACAGAGCAAGACTCCATCTCAAAATAAATAAATAAATAAATAAATAAATAAATAAATAAATAGCCATTGTAGAAATATCTCTTTTAATTTTATATATTCATCAGGTTTTTCTTGTTTTTTTTTTTTTTTTAATGCCTAACAAATACCTTGAAATTTCAGGGGGTTACAATAAAATTATTTTTCTTATCTGTGAGTGGGCTGGGATTTTTCTGATTCAGGCTATGAAGGGCCAGCTCAGATGGGCTTCACATGTCTCTTATTTGGGGACCAGCGGCTAGATAGAACATGCTTTTCTGATAGATAGTAGACGTACCAGAGACAAGGCCAAATCCTGGCTACTAGCATTCCATTGACTATAGTAAGTCATATGGCCAAGCTTAAAATCAATGGATAGAAAAATAAACTCCAACAATTCTAGTGATGGGCATTGCAACATAATATGCCAAAGGGTATTGACGTACAATTCTATGAAAGAAGAAAGTGAAGGCTGGGAACTGCTTGTACCATAAAGGGCTGAATTATCAAAGCAGACTAGCAACTCACAATACTAAACAGTGGCATTTAGTAATGATGGGTAAAAGGCACAAGTGAAAACTAAGCAGAGATACAGCAGTCTTCTCTAGAATATTCCCCATCCTGTCTGGTGCAGCTACCAAAAGTATCTTTTTCCACACTAGAACACATTTTGCTTTTTAAATGACAGCTAAGCACCCAGAAAGTGTATGACTTCTTAGACACTTGGCTACCACATTGAGGTAGACACTACCTGACAGCTTCTATTCTCCAGTCAAGTGCTTTCGAGGAATCCGTAAATGCCAGGTTAATTCACAAATAGGGCTTACTTACACTAAGCAATCTAGTTAGACTAAGAATAGCCTCAACCTCAAAAACATTCTTAGATAAGAGCACCTGTCCTGTGGCTCAGCTAGGTAATACATTAGAATATTTATAAGAGGTCTGATTAAGGTGGACATTGACCCCTCCCAGGAGGAAATGAGGCAGTTACAGACTTGCTGTTAATTCTTTTATTCCCAGGAGCTATATAATTCATTCTAACAAATATCACTTTTAAAGGGATTTGAGCTTAAGGTTTTCTCATTTACATAACCTCTAAATCTTATACATCTAAATATAAAATATGCTGTATCTTTAACTTGGGAATATAATTTGATAATATATTTTTAGTGGTAAGAATTTCAGTTATTATTTTCTTTTCACATTTTATATTTACCAAAATTTCAAAATAAGATGGAGAATGAGGAAGAAGAGGAAGAGAAGTAATCTAGCAATTATAAAGTTGTCCTCATATCCATACAAAGATATGAAGAGAATCATATTTGCTTATCTCTTATATAATGTCTTTTCTGGCTAGATGGTAAAGATAGTTGTTGATACATTCACCAAAGAGCGTCATTAGACATGTGTTGTGCACTAGTTATACTCCCTGTGATAATGTGAATACAACAGTAAGAAAATATCAAACATTTTCTTTGACTCTGATTCCTCCTGATTTTTTTTGTCTTAATCTTTTCATTCATACTCAAGAAAGTGAAACTAGAGTTTGTCAAAGTCACTTCAGGGCTAAAAAGAGAGATCATTTCCATTATGTATTATTAAAATAAACCTTTAGATAGTTTTAAAGTCAATTCAACATTTTTAAACTCTTGAAAGGGAACGAAGTTGACCTTGACTCTATAAAAGTATTTTCTGTATTCAGGAAAGGAGGCAGTTTCCATGTCAGTGCCACTTACTAAAATAGTATAAGAATTGTTTCTGATTTAATTATTCTCATTTAGATCTTCACTATCTTTAAAAGACAATTTAAAATTGCATATATCTATGAATAAAACAAGTTGCCTGAAAATATTTTATCCTAATATAAAATTATCTGTTGTGTTGAAGACATTACTATTTAAAGAGAGCAAACTTATTTTAGTGAGGTATTAATTGTAGTGAGATGGCTGCATTCTGTTTCAAGACTCTTATCTGGTAACAGTGATGTTTGGGCTTTCTTACACTCTCTTTATTTTGAAATACAAAACTTTCTCGGGCGAAAGGAGAAATTGAATAAATAGTACTATGAAATTCAACATATGGGAAGCATTTGCAGTTTAGAATTATAATGATATCATTTTAACCTTAAATAAAAGAGATTGACACTAAGAGGTGTGCATGTTTTCACTCACATCTGATAATTCTGTATATGAAGGATTCTGTTTCACTTAACAATTTGATCATCTTTAGCACAATCCTTAATGGGTTTTGCATAGGGAATTGTGTGCAGAAGATACATACTTTATAACAATCAAGTTTTACAATAAACTTTAGGAGTATTTACTCAGGGCAGCAAATCTGCAATTAATTTCTCCTAACTCCTTGTGAACCAATCTCATTTTCCTCCCACTTACACAGCCTATACATGGATATACTCAAATGTATAGAGTAAAACATAAGAAATGATCTTGGCTGATACTTAGGATGTGACTAATGGTTAGCTGTCAAGTGTAAAAATTGTGGATGATAGTGTTGATTTTTCTAATAAGCATTTTCATCTTTGGGACTAAATATTTTATTTTATATAGTTTTGAATTTTGAAATGAAAAAGTAACTGTCTTTTAATAACTGGAATCAGAGCTTACATCTTTCAAAAATTTTAATGTTTCTAAGTAGACCTGTAAGCATTAATATCTCCTTTTTGCAGACAAATAAACTGAATTGTACAAGTATTATTTAGGAAGTTATATATCCAGGCTGAATTTCCGTATTGATTAAAAAATATTTAAATTCAAGAATTGTATTTTATTCACCAAAGCCTACCGTGTAGTTTCTAAATATATTTTGTTTAAAGTTAAAGGAATTATCTTTTCTCAATGTCCCACAATATCAGAAATTTAAGTAACATAAGAAATATATGTATGTGTATATATTATATTTAATAATATTCCATGTTTAACATATTACGCTGTTAATGTTACATTTACATGTTACAATGTTAATGGTATACACTATATAACAGTAAAACTTATAACATTAATTTATTAAAATATAATATATATAATAACATAATATTAAGTTGGTGCAAAAGTAATTGCAGATTTTGCTAGTTTTGCACCAACCTAATACTATCTATTTATATATTTTTCTTCTTGTATTTTTTCCATCACTACTTACAGATAATAAAATCAAGAATGCCTTTTTTTGTGTGTAACTCTCTCCTATGCATTTTCTTTTTCTGCTTTGAAATAGTAATGTGACCTACTGCTTGGAGCTTTGGAAATAAGATCTAATTTTATAATTTTATGAATTACAATAGAATTATAATTTTAGAAATGTAAAATAAATTTATAACAGCATTTACTAGCTCCTTGCCAGGACATATACTAAATTCAAGAGCTTCTACCAGTGTGGATTGTTTCTCTCTCCACATTTACCAGCTTTTGTCTAGGCTTTTTCTTCCATGTTGTTTCTCCTTAATAGGCAAGCACAAAGTCAGGACAGAGTAGGTGACACTGCATGGGTTTCATCAAGGTAGAAAGCATCCTTGTGAATTACTAACTAAAAGATTGGGTTTAACCAAATTTCCAGATCTTTTTGCTTGAACCAGAGATTATTGTGTTTCACATCTAAAACTTGAAAGGAAATGAAATTGGCCTTATTTTCCAATAATTTTCTACTGCATCCCAAATAGTTGGTGTCAGTCTTCTACGTATATTAGCATATGTTTAATGACATTTCATGTTAATGCTTTAGTTAAGTTTGTTTTCAGTCTAATCATCCTTGTCTTAAAAATTTCTATAATGAATTGATTGAAGAATGTGCTTATTCCAAGTAGATTGTTACTTGTTTCCATTATAGATTTGGCGAATCATTCTGTTGTTTTATAAATGGAAATGATACTCTTCAAAACTTATTCGTCATTTTAAGAAGAGTTACTAAATAAGATTGAGGCTATCGTGTTTTTGTGTTTTTCAATACAAAGTAAAAACGGGGGAAATATAGGGAGGAAAATGTGTTAAAATTTAAAAAATATTTTTGAGATCATACTAGTAAATTTTGTTTGCATTTTTTACTTATTGGTGAGTAGAGAAAAAAACCCAAGTGAGTTCTGTAAATCATGAGATGATCATAACCTAGTTTTAAAATTTCAGAAACTGAGAGATTATATTTAAAAGTTATCTCATTTAAATTCTGATTAAAAAACCAGACTGTCATTGTGTGTCATTGACATTGGTTTCATCACAGTGTCTTAGCAAGATGTTTCAGGGACATACACAATTTGCACAAGTTTATTTACTCACAGTAAGAGAAAATTTCAAGCTGATAGCTTTAATTATTTTAGCTGATTCCTCTGATTGCACTCATGGAAAAGCCAAAAGAAGTGACTGTTTTTACTTTATCTCTCCCAGTCATAACTTATGTGTAGCTCTAAAGGCATCCCCAGGTTGGAAAACAAGTTTGATCTCTTTCTGAAAATGCTACTAAAAGAAGATATGCAAGAGATGTGAGATAGGAACATTGTAAGAACAGTTAAAAACCTAAAATTCAGAACTAAAGCTTGGGATGCAAGAAGGAATTTTCATGGAATTCATTATTTTCTTGAATTACAGCACCAAACACGGGTTTGCATGAAGCAGGTAGCTGGTAGTCATTTGTTGTATCAATAGTGATTCAAAATTTTATCTACAACTGTTAACAGTTCATTTTTCCTTATGGTTCTTTAAGCTCCTGTTTAGCTGTATCCCATCTGCCCTTGCTAAATACACTAGCTTACACACAGTCTTTCTGGATTCCGTTGACTTGAAAATTCAAATCTAAAAACAATGGCTAACATTTACTGAGTGTTCACTATGTATCAGTCACTGCTCTAAGATATACTAACTCATTCAGTTCCCATAGTGATACTTAGTGGTGTGTGGTGTATAATGATACCATTTCCACTTTAGAGGTGAGGAAAATGAAACTCAGGGAGGTTAAGTAACTTCCCTGAAGTTACACTGCTAAAAAGCATAGAACCAGAGTTAATACTCAGGCATTCTAGTTTCAGAGCATACACATGTAACCAGCACACCGGAGTTTAGATTATACACTGACCAAATGTCATTATCAAAATGGTATTTGTTCTCCCTTTTTATAAAGATTTCATAGAAAATTAACATGTGATGGTACTAAGATATATAGAGAAAAGTAACACAGTAATTTCACTACATCTGTTCATCTCATTACTATTAAACCTTTGGTCACTAAATAGACCATTATTTGATGAGGATAAGAGGGACTATAATTACTATTCCTGGATAAAGATTTGCCTGGACAAATTAATATTCAATCAGCAGTTCTCTCTGCCTGACACAGAAATGACTACTTTTCCATGCTATTTATAATTCCTGGTACTCTATGAAATTCCTCCTCTTAAATTAATACATTGGTCCTCCCTCGTTTACAGGGAATACATCCGAGACTTCTGGTAGACGACTGAAACTATAGATAATACTGTAGCCTATATGTACTATGTACAAATTTCTTTTTCTTTTTGTATAATTTCAGAATTATGTAGAAATATTTTTATCTTATAATAAGATAAAATACTTTTTCTTATCATAGATCTTAGCAACCTAAGCATATGATTTTTTTTCATTCCTTATTAAGTCAAGAATTTGCCTTTTCACTTAAAGGAAGCACCTTACAGTTTGTCTTTGGCATATTCAAATTGCCAGCATTGCTCTTGCACTTTGGGGCCACTATGACGTAAAATAAGAGTTACTTGAATACAAGCTCTACTTATTTTACTTAATAATGGAGACAGTCTGTCTTATAACCCAGATGGCTACTATGTGGCTAATGGGTAGGTAGCATGTACAGTGTGGATGATTCACATCCTGGGAGGGAAGAAGCAGCATGGTGTGAGGTTTCATTATGCTACTCAGAATGGTATGCAATTTAAAGCTTATGAATTGCTTATTCCTAGAATTTTCTATTTAGTATTTTCAGACCATGGTTGACTCCAGGTAACTAAAGGCATGGAAAGCAAAATTGTAAATAAGGGATGATTACTGAATTATGACAAGCCTTTCTCTGATGACTGCATTACAAGTTGAGCTATTTGCAGTGAGGTTGCCCAGAAACCTAGAGGTAGTACATGTTTTTTGAGATGGTATTTCCATTAATTCTTAAATTATCTCTTTTGCCAAGCACCCTTATCATCTTAGTTAATTCAGGCAGCTCTAATAAAATACCTTTGATTGTGTAATTTATAAACAAAAGAAATGTACCTCTCACAGTTCTGGAGGCTGAGAAGTCCAACATCAAAGTGCCAGCAGATTTGGTGTCTTGTAAGGGCCCATGTTCTGTTATGGTGGAAGGAGAAGGAAGCTCCATCAGGCCTCTATTATAAGGTTACTTATCCCATTGAAGTTATTTCATCAGGTTATAAGGCTCTGCCTTCATGACTTAATCACCTCCCAAAGACCCTACATCTTAATATCATCACCTTGAGAGAGATTTTATTATACGAATTTGGGGGGAACACATACATTCAGACCATAGCACTTATGATTACCCTATTTTAGCTCAAGCTAAGATCAAGAAAAAGAGATTTTCCTCTTCAGTTAGAAAAAAAAACTTTCAAGAGCCACCTTATTATTTGTTTAACAAATATTTATTAAGCAGGGACACTGTGCCTGTAAAAAAAAATAATTAAAAACTGGTACCCTTTTTAAAGGACTTAAGAGTTAATGTGCCTCTTAAGCAAAGATTATCCAACTAGTTTAGGCTAAATTAGTTCCAATCATATTACAGCATGTGTCCTCTTTGAACCTAAGTAATATTTACATATTTAATTATATGCCTTTTTAAAATATTTCACCTGTATTTGATTAATGTTGAATAGCCTAGAATCTTCAATGCAACTGTAAGCTTCTAAAGAGTGAGAAGACCTGGTATTACCTTTTCTTTTTTATTCATTTGGGCATATCCTTAATAGTTGATTGAATCACTGGTTATAGACTTTAATCTCAAAGTGATTATGATCTTCAGTAATCAATAACTCCAAATAAATTCAAATGCATTTTATGCTAAGCTATACTTTAGAATCCTTCAGTTTAAAAAATGTGAATAATGGTAATGCAAATTATAGTAAAGTATAACTTTGCTGTTGAAAGGACTTTCTGATACATGTTTTAATTTGTGACTAGCAAAAACCTTACGAGGCAAGCAGAGTACAATGGTCACTGTGTACAAGTATGTGTAAAGTAAAGAGTGATCATAGTACTGTATTTGCCTCATTTGTGGGGGTGAAAGGAGATTAAAAAGGCTTTGAAATGAAATTTTCAGAATTATGGAAAATATCATTATGTTATTACTGCAGACAGAACATTTCTTTGCAATTGGAACATCTAACTCTCGTTAAAACAATTTCTATGGATATCACTTGTGAAAAGAGTTCAGGGAACTATGTCATAGTAGATGTAATCAATTATACAAGATTACTGTGTTTCCTGTAAAGATATAGGGAAGAGAATGTCTTCATCAGAAATGTTATTTCTAGAGACTGCTTCTTTGATATATATCCACAAGAAACATAATTTCCTACTCAAAGTAGCCTTTCCTATTTACAAAAAAAAAAATTCAGTAATCTCGTGTTAGAGCTTTACCTCTTTTCTATTCTGCGGGGAGGTGTGGGGGAAGAGAAGGTGTTAAATGTGATTTTATATACATCCATGTATTATTTCATTATTGCATTGCTATAAAGAAATACCTGATATTGGGTAATTGATAGAGAAAAGGGATTTAATTGGCTCATGGTTCTGCAGGCTATACAGGAAGCATGATGTTGGCTTCTACTTGGCTTCTGGGGATGTCTCAGGAAACTTATAATCACTGTGTAAGGTGAAGGGGGAGCAGGCACATCACATGGCCAGAGCAGAAACAAGAGAGAGAGGAGGGAGGTGCTACACACTTTATGTGACCAGATCTCCCAAAACTGACTCACTATCACAAGGACAGTATCGGGGGGCTGGTACTAACCCATTCATGAGAAGCCACCACCATGAACCAATCACCTCTCACAAGACACCACCTCCAACATTCGAGATTACATTTCAACATTAGTTTTGGGTGGGGACAACATCCAAACTATATCAATCCATGTAATATTAATATATAATTATATATTATATATGTGTGTGTGTATAATATATATGTGCGTGTATGTATATATATATGCATGTGTGTATATATATACTTAGAAGAAATTGGTTTCATTGTAAATGGAAAGCATTTCTCTGAAAAATCCATAAACCCTTACACAGTGGGGGGAAAAATATCCAAAATACCAGGACATTATTTAAAAGGCATATTATAAATAGATTTCATCATACTGCTATCACTGTAAGCTTACAAGGGTGTACTGACTCTAGTAGCACCCAACCCCCAACATAGAAACAGTAAAGTAAAAATGTCTGATAATGAATCCTGAGTATGTAAAGCCGCTTTGAAGAAACAGAATTTTCTCAGGTCAAAAGGTAACCAATTAAGTTAGAATGTGCCAACTGGAGGAAGGACTGGTCAGTAATTGAAGCAAGGAGAAGAGAATAAGAGAGAAATGTCGTTATGTTTTCTCCTGAGAGAGGTGCCTGAAAACCATCTTGTCGGTCAATCACTGCCTTTAATGCCTGAAGAAACTGAAACCCAAAGAGAAAAATGACTTTTGCCCAAGCACAACACTGATTCACATCTAAACTGGAACTAAAAATCAAGATTCCTCACTTACACTTAGGCCTCTAGATTATAGAGCGAGCACATTTACTCATGCCTTTTCTCTGAAAGCAACAGATTCTAGGCAATAGTAGGAAAAATGGGGGCTTACTTGGTTGTTGGTTGTTTCAGTTTTTAATTTTTTCATGCTGATGTCAATGGTTAGAAAGATTTTTCTGTTAGCCTAGTGTTTTGATTTTATGTCTTCACTTAGAAGAAACATTACCTTTTTATATTTAAGTTGCACACAAAAAGTATTAGTGTCAAATATTTAAATACAGTCCTTTTAAACTTGCACAATACTACTTATAAAAACATATCAGAGAAAGGAGTCCACATGACTGAGTGAAAAGCTGTCTTTTGCCACAAATTTTATACTATATTTTTCAGGAATTATCTCCTTTCACTTCATAATTGCTGCTAGCAGGGGCCAAGCTAACCATTAAATAGTGTTTCTGACCTCATGCACTGTTCCATAGCTTTGTAAAGTGCATAGACAGTTTTTTTTCCCCAGAAATAGAAATGCTTCTGCTACTAAGTTGAAAGGCATTATTAGTGAAATTAGAATATGATAACAAACTGCAGATGGTAAAAGATTACTTCCTGGCAGAGAATAAATCCAAATGCATTTTATGCTAAGTGAAATGTGATTATCAAAAAATTGTAATAATAATGATTGATTCATGAATGGATAACTGTGATCCAGCTCCTGCTGCCAACTATATGTCTTAATCAGATCAAGATAGAATCACTGATTAAAGATAGAAGAAAAAAGAGAAACCATAATGAATTAGAATGAATATACTATATTACCAAGGTCATATGAGTTTTGATAGTTGCTATAAAATAAATAGAATAGCCATTTAAGTTCATTTTAAACCAAAATACATTCTTCTGCCAATTTTAAAATTATCTAAAATATATCTTATTACAAGATCATTTTAGTCAAATAAAACTTTAGGCACTTTTGAAATGAATGTTTACAGAATAAACAGGCAACAGACTGTACTTGATATATCACTACTATAAAAGCTTTTGTGGAGTATGCTAGCTATGAATTTCTAGCTATGAATTAAATGTTCTAATTTATTACGTTATACTCACAGTTTAAGAAATATTTACTGAACTCTTCTATACGCCAAGCATATCTGAGTTTTTAAAAATGTGTATCTTTCCTCTCATAGAGCTTATATATTCTAGTCTTATTACAAAAGAATATCAATATTTTCAAATAGTGTGCATAGGGAATGCCAAACAACACTTTTCTTATGAAGGGCAGATTCTTTCCACTCTCTTCCTCATACTATTGTTGACTCCATTTAGGGATCTTCTTTATCAGCAGGAGTGGATTATTTCTGTAAAAAAAGTAAAATCTGAGTAACATAAAATGAGCTACTAGGGCTAACAGGACATGTATAGTATATCTAACCTACTTTACACCATGTCTGCCCTAATGATTAGACCACACCTTTCCTGTTTACTCAATTATTCATTCACGACATGTTCATTAGGTGCCTAAAACAGACCAATCTGTGTTCTAGGTTTAGGGCATAAGGCATTGAGCAAAACACATAAAGCTCCTGCTCTTATGTAGCTTATATTTTAGTGAGGAAGAAAGAGTAAAAATAGAGAAATAGATATATAAAATACAATCAAATGATGATAACTATTAAGGAAAATATTAAGTAAGGTCAGGACATAAAGAATAACAGGGATGCTAATGAGTGGGGCTGCAGGAACTGAGGATTTGCATGAAGAAATAAGATGAAGGAATATCTAGGTGAGGAGTACTCCACACAGAAGAAATAGAAGGAAAAGTGAATTCACAAAACAGGGTAACCAATGAGTGAGCCAAAATAGAGTGAGAAAGGCTGATGGAAACAGGAGTTTGGGTTATATTCATGGCCAGGCAGAAGCTTATAAAGGGCCTATGGGCCATGATAAGAGAGTTCTCATGAAGAGTTATGATTTTTCTTTATGTAGTGTGTGTGCCTGAATGACAAAGCTGTCAATATATAAAATATTCATAAAAGAAAAAAAATTATCCATGGAGCTATTCAGAAGCAGTGCACTCTTTCTAATCAAAACTACTACTTGAAGTCTGTTTAAATGTAATTAAAAACAGTGACTGAGTTTATAAGCACTGGAAAACACAATGTCAAAAAAAAGCACTGGAAAACACAATGTCAAATCCAGAAGACTGACACATAAAGGTAATTACAATGCAACAAGCACTTAAGTATGTTATAGGAATAATCAAGGAGCAAACTTCCTCCTCTGCTTTGAATGTAAAAAGATACAAAGCACTTTTTCCCACCTGCACAATGAGAAAAAGCCAAAAATCTATTAAACTCTAATTTTTTTCAAGCTGTAACTTTTCTCAAAGTAACCAAATAACCCAACATCCAAAGAGGGACAAGTACTTTCAAAGAGAGACAGAACACAAAACAGTCTGTCCTTAGAGATAATCTAGGAGTAAGAGGTTACTGTCTTCCACACAGGCTAGGAAGAATCACTTGCAATTTTTATGAACTCATAAAGGCTAAGTGTGAACTACTGTATTTATTTGGAATAGCAGACACAAGGGGAGTTTGTACTTATTTGCAGGCTATTGAAGTACTCTTCCAGCAAGTGCTCTTGAGAAAGTTGGTATCAGAAGGATATGAAACAGAGCTCTCCTGAGTGGAACTATGGCTGCAGGGGACCAGGCATAGTACTCTTGGGCTTTAAGCAATAGGAGTTTGAACTCTGCAGGCCCATTTTTATGTGGATTTTTTCAATAAATATATTGGAAATTTTCTTGGAGGTTTGCAACTATTTGAAAAAAAAAAAGACTCACATATGAATGGTATAGCCTAGAAATATTTTTAAACAATAAGAAATGGTTAGGTAGGTCATTAATTCATAAGGTAAACTGGATACTAGTCTATTTTATGACTAGATACTAGTCTATCATTTACCACTATAAAATTTACACAAATCTATTATGGGAAGTTAAAATGTATCAAAACTTACACACACACTTACAGACCTTACATGGCACCATGCCCAGTCTAAAGAAATATAAACAAATGTCTAAATGTGGCATTAAATTATAACTGCATAAAATTAACTGTAGTACATATTGTACTACTGTGATAATTTCACAGCCAACTCCAGTTGCAACTGTGGTGAGGTCAAATGTTGCAAGTAACATAGTGTGAGCAGTTTGTCTCTCCAGTAAATTGTATCATGCAGTAAAAAGTAACCTCTCACAGTTCTTGCATAGTTTTCACCAAGTTTAGTGCAATACTGCAAACCTTGGATAATACCATGGGACCCATAAAAAGTGCGACTAGTGATGCTGGAAGTGTTTCCAAGAGGCAGAAAAAAGAAGCCATGACATTACAAGAAATGTTTAATTGCTTGATGTGTACCGTGGACTGAGCTCTGCAGCTGAGTTTGACTGGCATTTCAGACAGACAATTTATCTTATAAACAGATAATGTAAACTTATGGTATTGAAGATATAGTACAGTACTGTAAATGCATGTTCCCTTGTGATTGTCATAATAATATTTTCTTTTCTCTAGTTTACTGTATTATAAGATACAGTATATATTAGTGTATGAAATATGTGTTAATAATCTGTTCACATTATTAGTAGGACTTCCAGGCAACAGTAGGCTATTGATCGTTAAGTTTTGGGGTAGTCAAAAATTATAGGTGGATTTTTTACTGTGGGGGTTGACACTTCTAAACTCTGCATTGTTCAAGGGTTGACTATGTTTTTCCCATCTATTCACCCTTTATCCCTAGAAAGTAAAAGCCTTAAGATCTTGGGGAAGGGGGAAAAATCCTCTTATCTATGGGGTACATGCAAAGACCTATTGCTACTGGTAAAGACTCCTGGGAGCTGGTCAGGAAACTGTCTTGGTTCCAGGATCTTTCACAGATATAAGCCAAGGTTGGCACATTCTGGGAGGCAGGAAACTCTCCAGAGACCAATCACAAATGAAAGGTGGTGTTTCAAAGATGAGGGGCAGTAACAGTGACAACACCCTTAGGCCCAAGTTGCACATGACCTGTGTGAAACGGAGGCTGGACCAGGTCCGCGATAACCTTGTGCAAAGTAACACACAACAGATGTCTACCACAGGGGAAGGACCCAAGACTCACAGAGGACAGAGGCACCTCCACTTGGTGCAGCTGTGAAGGGACAACTAAAACCTGAGGGAGAAAAAGAAACACTGAGGAAAAATCTCTGGCAACACAGGCCCTATTCTAAATACTACAAAGTAATAGCAGCCTGCTGCTAGAGGAATCCAAAGCCTGTGGTGCACTGGACATAGTGAGGGCAACAACAAGACACATATCCATATCAATTCCTGACTAGATTGCTACAGCCATACACCAACAGCCTGGTAGGAGGAGAGTCTGTATCAATATATTCTATTTACCTCAGTCTGCAGTCTCTTACAGCAATATGTCTAAAATTATAAGAAACATTAGAAAAAACAATCCATTGTCAAGATGTAAAGCAACAAAAATAGATTGAGCTATATCCTAGATGTTAGAATTATCACAGTGACTATAAAAGTAACTAGGGTTAATATGTTAGCAGGAAAGGTGAATATAACATACATGAATAATAGGGGAAATTCAGCAGAAAGAAGGTAAACTAAAGCAGTACATAGAGGGAAATTTATAGGACTAAATGTCTATTTTAGAAAAGAAGAATGGTCTAAAATTGACAATCACAGCTTCTACCTCAGAAAAAGAAAATCAAACTAAACTGAAATTAAGCAAAATAAAGGAAATTGTGAAGATCAGAGCCGAAATCAATGAGATAGAGAACAGAAGCAACAAAGAAAAATCAATGAAACCAAAAGCTGTTTCTTTGAGAAAATTAATAAAAGTGATAAACCTTTAGCCAGACTGGTTGGGATCAAAGAAGATACCATATAAATTATCAGTATCGTATAAAGAGAGCTGACATCACTTCAAATTTCAGGGGAATATTACAAACACCTTTATTTCAGTAAATTTGACAACTTAGATGAAGAAGGCAAATTCCTTGAAATATAAACGTTACCAAAGCTCACCTGAAGAAACAGATAACCTGAATATGCCTGTATATGTTTTTAAGACTGATTTTATAAACTCTCTCACTACTGAAACTCCGGGCCCAGAAAGTTTCACTGGTGAGTTCTACCAGACTTTTCAGGAAAAATGACATTAATTATACACAAACTCTTCCAGAAAATTCAAAATGTGTGACTATATTCTAACCCATTTACTGAAGCCAGCATTATCCTTGCAAGGATAATTTAACATTCAGAAATCAATCAATGCAATTGCCCATATTAGCAGACTAAAAAAGAAAAACCATATGGTTATCTCAATAGATGCAGAAAAAACTTCCAATAAAATCTAACATCCATTCCTGATAACTCTGAACAGCTCTATTCCTGAGCAAACTCTGTTCTCAGCAATAAAAGGAGACTTTCTCAAACTCATAAAGAGCATAGTCCAAAAACCTTCAGGTTATATTATTTTCAATTGTGAAAAACTGAATATTTTTCCCTAAAAATCAGGAAAAGGGGAAGGGTGGCTGCTATTACTACATCTATTCAAAATTGGACTGGTGGTACCAGCTGGTGCAATAAGGCATGGAAAAGAAATAAAAGGCATACAGATTGGAAAGAAAGAAGTAAAATTGCCTTTATTTGCAGATGACATGATTCTCTCTGTAGAAAATCCTACAGAAAAGGAAACTAGAAGAAGTGAGTTTAAGAAAGTTTCATGATATGAGATTAATACACAAAATCTTATGTATTTCCATATTTTCTGGCAATGAAATTTGGAAATTAAAATAAAAGTACCACTTAAAATAGAATATAAAAGTATAAAATACTTAAGAATAAATTGACAAAGGTGCAAGACATGTACACTGAATACTACAAAATATTGCTTAAATAAATTATTTGAAAAGCTAAATAAATGAAGTTATGTATAATGCTTATGAATTGGAATACTCAGTAAGTATTGGGATGTCGAAGTTACCTCTCTTTTTTTTTTTTTTTTTTTTTTTTTTTTTTTTTTTTTTGAGATGGAGTCTCGCTCTGTCACCCAGGCTGAAGTGCAGTGGCGCGATCTCGGCTCACTGCAAGCTCCGCCTCCTGGGTTCACGCCATTCTCCTGCCTCAGCCTCCCAAGTAGCTGGGACTACAGGCACCCGCCACCACGCCAGCTAATTTTTTGTATTTTTAGTAGAGACGGGTTTCACCGTGTTAGCCAGGATGGTCTCGATCTGACCTAGTGATCAGCCTGCCTCAGCCTCCCAAAGTGCTGGGATTACAGGCGTGAGCAACTATCTCTTTTTATAAGCACATAGACTGCTGAAGAAATAAGGTAATTAAAATAGCATGGCGGTGGGAGAGTGTGTGGAATGGCAGGAAGATACAATAGCAAGGAATAGGAACTAGAGATGAGCATGAAAATGTAAATCAGTGTCAGGTCATAAAGAATTCTGCATGCCATGCTAAGAGTTTGATTTTCACTTGCAGAAGTTGTATGATGACATTGGAAGTTTTATGTTTTTAAATTTTTATTTTAAATTGGTTTTAGATTTTCAGAAAAATGCGACAATGGTAAAAAGAATTCTCTTATATTCTTTACACTTTTCCTAATGTTAACATCTTATATAATGAAAGTGAAATTATCAAGAATAGTCATTGGATATTGATGCAGTATTACTAACTGAGCCGCAGACCTTCTTCAAAATTCACCAACCTCTTTTTTTTTTTTTTTTTTTTTTTTAATGACAGAGTCTCTCTCTGTCACCCAGGCTGGAGTGCAATGGCGCAATCTCGGTTCACTGCAACCTCAGCCTCCCGGGTTCAAGCAATTCTCCTGCCTCAACCTCCCAAGTAGCTGGGATTACAGGCAGGAGCTACCATTCCCGGCTAATTTTTGTATTTTTAGTAGAGACGGGGTATCACCATGTTGGTCAGGCTGGTCTCGAACTCCTGACCTCAAGTGATCCACCTGCTTCGGCCCAACCTCTTTATTAATGACTTTTCTATCTGTTTCAGGATTTTTGCCTAAGATCCCATATTTCATTAAATTGTCATTCCTGCTTAGTCTCTTCTAGTATGTAGCAGTCCCTCAGTCTTTTATTGATGACCTTTAAAACATGGGAATGACATAATGCGATTCAAAAATAGATATGATTGCTTACAGTATAGATGATTGGAGAAAGTGCTGTAAAATCAAGCCAGCTTAAAGACAGTTTTGGTAATTGAGTGTGTGGTGATATCATTTGAATTAAAGAACTGGCAGTAGATATTTCAAAAAAGAATAGTTTTGAGAAACATTAGGAGTAAAATTAACATTATGTGATAACCAAGTTGAGATGGAGGAGCATGGGAAACAAAAGTGAAGAAATAATCGAAGATGACTTCTGAGATTGGGTTGTGATATTCTAGGTAGATAGCAGTAACTGAGAAAGCAATGTAAAATATTATTTTGTCATTCTCTATCTTTCTCTTACACAAACATAAACACACTGTTCCCCACATCTTTCTCAAGATATTATTCTTACTTTTATGGGATATAATTTTCTGGACTATATTAAATATTCTGTCATTCATCCAGAAATAATCAGTTTCAAATCCAAGAAGTTTTATAAGGAACAATAATTTTAATAAATAGAATTTCTATAAAATGATTAAAAAGTTTTAAAGACAGACATATAATATGATCTGATTATCATTCTTGCCACAATTATGTTTAATCCTCACTCTTTGCTTGTTATGTTTATGATTATGTAGGTGAAGATTAAATTTTACCTATAATGACCAAATATGACATTCTGCACTCACCGAGTTTCCTAAAGTGCAATTGCTATATCTTCTATCAGCTGCCAATCAGTTATTAAGTATAGGACAGATAAGGTGTTGTTTTAGATAAACTGATAATTTTATAAATTTGCAGGCTATTGGGAAAAGGCCTTTCTAAACACAGTGTTAAGCAAAACAGTCTTAAAAGACTGACAATTTCATTGTATATAATTTTAAAATTTCTGAAAAGCTACATAACTCATAAATAAATTTAAAATACAAGACTAAAGGCAGTTAAATAAATGTGGATAAATAGTGGTGCTAAGGCATGTAAAGGTCTCCTTCATATTAATAACAAAAAGACAAACTCCATCATAGGTCATATTTCTTGCCTCTCCCGCCATTCTAACCTTGCACCACTCTCTACCATGCTCTTTGCACTCCAGCCACTTGGCTCCTCTTTCTGCCTTTCTGGTATTTCATTGTCTCTGTGTCACAGGATCTTTGCACATTCTATTTCTTCTTTTGGAAACATTTTCTTTACTCTTTTTCGTCAAGGTAACCTCCATCCACTTAATTAGTTCCTACTTACCCTTCAAATTGCAGCTCTATAGTCACTTCTGTAGCAAAGGCTTCCCCAATCTCTAGTTGAGGAAAAATGTTTTTGGGCTATCATAGAATAACGTTCTCTTTTGGCCTGGAACCTACTCAGTATGTCATTAAACATTCATATGAATATCTTCTGTCTCACCCATTATACTCTTGCCTATTTTGGGCCATTTTGCACCCTGAGTACCTGGTACTTGCCTGATATAGAAATACATTTTATATATATAATATACAGGTATATATATGCACATATATATGTGTTCTTTGAAGAATTGTTACTAAAATAAAAAGATAAAAAGATAGGAGATTGATCTGAATTTCCTTAAATCGGGAGCTATGAAATCTATCATTGAAAAATTATAAAGTAAATATGCTAAATATAATTATATTAGTAAATATCTGTATATTTAGTAAATATACTAAATATAATTATATTTATATACTGTATATACTAAATATAATTATATTTATATACTGTATATACTAAATATAATTATATTATATTTATATACTGTATATACTAAATATAATTATATTTATGTACTATATATACTAAATATAATTATATTTAGTATATTTACTAATTTTTGTAATTATATCATATAATTGTATTTTGTATATTTACTAATTTTTGTCTTGTATTTTAAATTTTATATATAAATTTTATAAAACTTATGAAAATATATAAATTATATATAAATATACATAGTAAATATCAAAAAATATGTGTTCCAGCCTTGTCTCTACTACTTAATAGCAATGTAAACATAAGCCTCAATTTAGTTTTGAAAAGGGGAATAGGAAAATATTCAATTTAGCCATGCTGATCAAATGATAAAATGTATGTGAAACCATTTTTTAAACTCCAAACAAAATAAAAATAAAGTAATATTTCATCATTATCATTTTTATTACATCAATGATGGTAGAATCACTTTAGGTCTGATTAAAAGTGTACTCAATACTTTCTAGGTTCTTCTCAGTACCATTTTGCAGCCTTGTTGAAATTTTCCTTTATAAACACATGGAGCTGAAATTATTTGGAGCTAAAACTATAGAGAATCAATGTTTTAATACCAAACTAAAAATTTTTTAAAAGAGAATACTATTAGGGATTCTTCTTCTTTCTTTTCTTTTTTTCTTTTTTATATCTAGGAGGCTGAATTTTTCTGAATTTTGTAATAAGGGAGAGTTAAAAACCCTCCTAATTTTTCATATGGGCCTTTCTGTTTAAAAACAATGATTTATTTTGTAGTTCTTCATGGCCCAGACATTCTAATCTAAGTCAGGTTTGAACCCCAACTCTGCCATTTACTAGTGTTACAGATTCACTAGTGGTATGATGGACAATGCATTTAATGTCACTGAGTCAGAATTTTCTTACTTGAAAGTTGGAATAATAATAGCTTTTCTGCACACGGTTGTTATGAGATATAAATTGAAAAATAAGGTGACTTATAATATGTGCCAGGTTAAATGTTTAATTCTTCTCAGGTTTGGATCACTAATTATAATTAAAGGTTCACGTTGGCTTTAGATGAGTGAAAAAATAGTTGACTGAAAATTACTCAACTGAGTTCATTTGATGGCTGGTGATCAACCATTTAAGCACTTCTATTTTGTAAGAAGGAATAAAATCTTAACAATTTTTAATTAAAATATTTTTTCTGTATTTTCACTTCCTAAGTAGATAATTATGATTAACTTGGACCTTGTAACACTATTTACATATTAAGGCAAGCTTTATTTGGAAGAATTTGTTCCAGATGATTTTATTTCTGGCAAACTACATTGATGAGGTCCCAAATATAGACCATCTTCTAAATGTCACATCTCAGATGGTTGCTAAAAATCATATTTGCAAAGAATTCTAAATGTCTGGGTAAGCTGAAATTGTTTTGTGTTACTGTATTCCTAGAAGTATAAAAGCAAATGTCTGGAGCTTTTTGGTGGAATATTAAAAAAGCAATCATAAATAGTATATTTGTGATTTGTTAATAAACAGAAAAAAAGTAATTAGATTATATTTAGTCATCATAGAAAGAATACACAAGTAGTGAAGTTCCACTGCCCAGTTATGGTCATTGTTGAGTATGACTGAAGATTATTGAAAAAATAATAAAAAGTCAACAAATATTAGATGTTCTGCAACAATTACTTGAAAGAGCATTGAAGTTACAATCCGCCAGGCTACTGTTTCTCAGAAAGGGTTACACATCAGAACTATTCAGGTAACATTTCATAATGCAAATACATGACTACCACACTGGACTGAATAAACTAGAAACTCTAGGAGTAGACTTAGTCATCTCTCTCTCTATTTTTAATCTCCACTTTTGATTGTGATGCAGGGCAGATTTTGGAAAGACTATGGTGGACAAACTGGGAGCACTTTGAGGATAGAACCTGTCATATACATTCTCTGATCTCCAGGGAAGTTCCTTGGACGTGGTTGAAAGTTGATTATTTATATTGATGAATAAGTATGTCTTAATCCCTTCTGTGCTGCTATAACAGAATACTTGAGACTGGGTAATTTATAATAAACAGAAACTTATTTTCTCACAGTTTAAGAGGCTGGGAAGTCAAGATCAATACACTGGCGTCTGGAGAAGGTCTTCTTGCTTGCTGTGTCATCCTATGGAGGAAGGGCAAAGAGAGGGCAAGAGAAAGCCAAGGGGAGGCCAAACCTGTCTTTTGATAAGGAGCCCACTCTTGCTATAATAGCATTAATTCATTCAGAAAGGTAGTGCCCCCATGACCCAAACACATCACATTAGGTTCCACCTCCCAACACCAACACATTGGGGATCGAGTTTTCAATATTTCAACTTTGGGGGACACATTCCAACCACAGCAGTGTATGATGTAATGTGCTAAAGTCCTGATGTGTCTTAAAATCACCGGAGGAAGTTATATCGGGACAAATTGGTAAATATAAATAAGTCAGAAAAAAAAGATCACAAAGAAGATATATGTTCAAAAAGGATGATGCTACCAAAAAATATTTCACTGAGTTCTCATTTTCAGTAAGAGGTAATAAATTTTTTAACTCTTTATGCATTTTATTTTTAATCTTGTTTTACTTAGTAAGAAAACAAAGACTCAAAATATTTAGCTTAAGAAATGAAAATGTTAGTGTACATGAATATATCTTAGCTTAAATGGATACATTTATAGAGCAGAATTAAATTCCATAACTGCAGAGTGACCACAAAGGGCAAAAGTGTTGCAATTGCTATTAAAAATAATAAAAATAATAGTTGTGCTTTTGGCAGTTAGTGCAGGCTCCAAACATCTTTGGTAGTGACAGAATCTCAAACAACTGGAGTCATAAAACCAGCAAGCTTTTCAATATGATCTGTATGTATAGATGTTTACGTATATGTGCATATATAGTATAAATAAATCACAAGGCTTGAAATAATAATAAAGAACTATGCCATTGAGATGTCATAGGTTTAGATTATTTTAATTTAAAATAGTTGATAAATACACGTTCTGATCTTTCAAATTCAGTTCTCATACTATATCAAATGAACTGACTATGCATTCTATGAAACTGCAACTCATAATAATAGTCTCTTAATTGTCAAGACATGAAATTCTTGCAAAAGGTAGTCTGCGTTGCTAAGCTTTGCTTCTGTTCTTACTGCAGCCTTTTATTTCCTGAAATCTCCCTTCAGCTGCCATGAGTTATAGCCTATTTTTATACTAACCTTCATCTAGGGCCCTGTAGATCCAAAGCAAATCAATTTCTATCTGCCATGCTTCAACCGACATTTTGTTTTGGTAAAATAGGGCCAAATGGGCATCAAATACAGCCTTGAAGGGGAAATGGCAGGTTGCTGTGGAGGCCCGTTCTTATATGTGCACAACTGCGGCTTTGTTTTGAGTCATCCAGTCCCAATTCATTTTACTTGTGTGAGCTCTTCCTTTCCTCTTCAGTGGGACTACCTCCTTTCAACAAACTTGACAATAAAACAATCTCAAATTGAGCTTTCCCCTATTTAGAGCTTTATCTTTACTTCGCTATGCAAAATTTTAAGGATACAACTACAAGACTCCATTGTTTGCTTGTTGTGGTGAAAAGGATGATTGGTTAGAGAGCTGGGTCATCTATTTTGTTTTTTAAGTGGGTGCATTTGTGATTTCTTGACAATAAAGGATTGGGCCCTCTCAGAGGGATGCGCATTTATAACTTGCAGGCCACCACTCTCCCACTCTCTATGAGAAACCTGACAAAATGATTTTGGTACTTTTTCTTATTGAGTCTCAAACTCTCAAAATAGTGTTCCAGGATGCCAATTTACCAACAAGTCATCAAAAGCACAGCAGGTAAAGCCAATTTCCCATCCTTGGACTGCACGATCTCTAAATTATCTTTTAGGCCTGACATTATATGCTTTCTGGCTGCAATTTTTGATTATTCCGATTTTGATTTTGTAGGAAAATTTCAGTTATTCTTGCTAATATGAATAGCACGATAGGCAATACCAAACAGTAATCCAAAAACAAAGTTTTTGTATACAAAATTAACTGGTTTTAGTATCTGCTTAGTTCGTGTTTAATAGGAAGTAACAGTGGGTTGGAAGAAACAAGATTTTATGCTAAAGCAAATGTATCT
Source organism: Homo sapiens (assembly GCF_000001405.40). Lineage (NCBI taxonomy): Eukaryota > Metazoa > Chordata > Mammalia > Primates > Hominidae > Homo > Homo sapiens. The sequence goes on from NC_000004.12 coordinate 93,082,893, forward strand.
ACTAAGCAAGATTAATATATGACTTTTCATTTTGGAATATATCCTTCTAAATCTGAAGACTAAAACAGACAATTTTCCTGTCATGTTACATGTGACAGAATATAATATTGAAAGTAAATTTTTCCCCAAATTTCAATGTTTATAACTGTATAAATTTTGTGGTAGAAGTATGTAAAATATTATATTTACTTAATTTCCTGTAATTAGTGTAATCTAAAGATTGACTCCAACTGTGTACCCCTTAAGGCACTTTCTTATTTTGATTTTAAATGCTACAAACCAAAATCTCTTCTAAAAAGTGACTTACTACTTACTATTTGCTTATATAAATCATTAATGGTCATATATACCAAAATAATGAAATAAAAATTTGACTACTCTTTTTGCATTAATTCATTGAAATTATAAGTATACACTTATATTATTTTCTATGAAAATTGAATTCATGAACATGACTAGAACATATGATTTTTGCTAAAATTAGACCTCACAATGTTATGGTCTAAGAAGCATCCATCCAGGCCAGGCACGGTGGCTCACACCTGTAATCTCATCACTTTGGAGGCCGAGGCAGGTGGATCACAACATCAGGAGTTCCAGACCAGCCTGACCAACATGGTGAAACTCCGTCTCTACTAAAAACACACAAAAAAATCAGCTGGGCTTGGTGGCACAGGCCTGTAATCCCACCTACTCAGGAGGCTGAGGCAGGAGAATCACTTGAACCCAGGATGCGGAAGTTGCTGTGAGCCAAGATCACACCACTGCACTCCAGTCTGGGCAACAGAGGGAGACTCCATCTCAAAAAAAAAAAAAAAAAAAAAAATACATCCTTGATGCTTTCACATTTATTGGAAATCAGTATAATCTCTTTCATGAGGCAATGCTTGAAAAATATGTCTCAAATAATTATTCATTATTTTGCATGTATTGGTTGGCTTAGCATTAATAAATTAATAATAATAAATTTATTTGATGATGATATGCTTATCATTAGTACAGCACTTTTAAGCTTGCACTTTAAATCAGCCTTCATTAACTGGCCAGTTAATTATATACAAGAACTTACCATTAAGTTTTCCTTTAAGTTTTTAAAGAACTATGTAAAACAATTTATAATAAATTTTGAATCTTAAGAATGTTATACCTAGAATGCCTAAAATCTAAAATAAGGCTGAACCAGTTATAAAATGAAAATAATTTTTTCATTGATTTCTTCACTGATTTTTGAACTTATTTTTAATTTTTTATCTTCAAAGTTTGCCATTATGAAACATTACCTCTTCACTCTTTTTTCTGTGTATACAATTTCTTTACATTTACTTATAATTTATATTTGATCTAGTTTTAAGTACATTTTGAGGTATGCACATAGAAGAGTTAAAGTGAAATAAAAATAGATTGTAACCATATAATAGGAATTATAAATTGTTGATCTAGGAACCAGAATGAGACACTGGCTACAATGTAGTATTTGAAATTATTTGATTTGACCATAAGCTTTCTTACTGTCAAGGAAAATAACAAAAACATTTTTGTTTCTCCAGTTTATGGAAAGGGGCAATGTCATCAAGTTTTTAGATATCAGAATCATTCTGTTTTCAGTGGCCAGAAATGCTTTTCTCCAAACCTTCATCTTTCTGTTTATTCACCGGTTTACATATTATCTACTTTTTGAAACCTTGTATTATGCCTTCAGTAGGGAATTATCTTTTCTCTGAATTATAAATTGATAATTACAAAAGTTTATCTACCACTAATTGAATATCTATCATGTGAGAGGCAAATAACAGACACTGTTTTCTCTAATCCTTGCAATAATCCTGCGAGATTCATGCTATTTTACCCTCTTTACAGATGATGAAACCGAGCCAAGAGAAGCCAAGTGATTTGCACAAGGTCGCATAGATAATAAGAGCAGAATTCTTGGAATACCAATAGTGCTTTGTAATTTGAGGATCTCCTCATATCGAATGTTCCTTTCTAAAACATTTTCATAGCTATATAAAAAATCTGTAAGCTTTATCCATCCAGTGCTTCTCAAAAAGGGAAAACTATGTGAAACCCACTGACATTTTGAATATTACTGTGCTTTCTTGCAGCCTGTGAACTTATGAATCAAGGCATCTTGGCCCTGGTCAGCTCCATTGGCTGCACGTCAGCAGGATCCCTCCAGTCTTTGGCAGACGCCATGCATATCCCCCACCTCTTCATTCAGCGCTCAACAGCTGGGACCCCAAGGAGTGGCTGTGGACTCACCCGGAGCAACAGGAATGATGACTACACTCTCTCAGTTCGCCCACCTGTCTACTTGCATGATGTTATCCTAAGAGTGGTCACAGAGTATGCCTGGCAGAAATTCATTATATTCTATGATAGTGAATACGGTAAGTGTTTATAATTTGTTTAGGTTTTGTAAGCTGATATTTGCATGAGAAGCAAATTCATTAAATCTTAAAAGTTTCAAGGGTCTTACTCATTGTTATTTGTGGTTTTCTTGTCTTGTCATATTTTTCTTATAAACATAGCAACAACTGAAAATTGTGTTAATGTATTTAAGTCCAACATTTTGGTATAAAGTCAACTTTAAATATAAATACCTGTACCTACTTAATGCTTAGTTTACAAATGTTTCTAGAGAGAATCTGATTCCAATACATCTTGATTTTTCAACTAATGGGAATTTAGTCATAAAAACAACACCGTCTTTCTTCCCTTTCAAAAAAATGTATACCTCTCTATAATGCAGAAGATCATATTGGATAACCCTAGAACACTGAAAATTTACCTCTTTCTATTATTTGGCTAAATGAAATCTGAAAAATCTTGCTTACACCCTTGTGTAGACTTTAATACCTACTCAGTACTTAACTCCTTGGAGTCACTAAAATTATATCACCATACAGTTCATATTATATGTTGTCTACAGTAGGAAGTCTCACAAAAGTACTAAGTAGTAAAAAAAAAATTCTTTAATCTTCCAAGGTAAAACACAAAGCATTGTCCCTAAATTTATCATAATTTGAGAATAAAATGCTTTGTCTCAGTATATTTACTGGTACTTCATTAACAACTAAACAAAATAATATTTTTGTTTACATTTATTTTTTCTGAATTTATCTACCTTTTTTCTAACTGACCGATCCCCAATATCTTAATCTATAGATTCCCTCTTATTTGTGGCAGAAATAAAATAGAGATGAGTATGATCAAATGAGGGGAAATGAACAGATCTTGATAAAGAATGCCTATTTTGAAACATGTGTTTTCTTAGAGGTTATGTCTTGAGAAGGAGTCTTGGAAAAATTTCCTGTTCAGTAGGAATGGGTTCAGTTTTTACAGTTTTCTGAAAAGAAAGTCAGAGAGGATTTCACTCTCTGTAGCATAACTTATTTTTCTTTGCAAATAAGTAAATAAACATCTTAAAAAATGCTTTCTTGTCCTAAGCTACCCAGCAATGTGAACGATATTGGAGAACAGTTACACAAGAGTCGTCCAGAAAGTGCCATCAATAGAATTGAGAACAAACAAGTTGGCAGAAATCTAGGAATCAACAAATAAGAAAGAGCTCCTGTGGACTCTCAGGGAGGGAGAGCAAGTGGCAGTTACATTTAGCCCTAAATATTCAATGGTTGCATGGGGTTTTGGCAGCCAGAGTCTTATTAAACTTGGTGGGTAGGCTTCAGCCAAAGTCTGTGGCACTCTCTGGAAACACACTCCTTTGTCTCCAAGACGGAAATCCTTATTTTTGTTGCTTAATTCACGTTATTAAGGGGTCACAGAACAAAGTCTAAGAGACTGAAATGAATAAAATAAACAAAAAGGATATTAAAAATAATTGGCTCATCAGTTAAAGTAAGGATTGAACTCAACACAAGCCTGAAATTCCCTGATAGGATTATTTAGTGAACATAATAAACTCTTTGGAATCAACATGCTGAATAAGACTGTTGATTTTCTTACAGTCAGATTATTTGTGGCCTTTATAACTTAAATGGTATTTTCTTTTTTTACTTAAATGATATTCTTATGACCTCTGATCAAACATATATTGAAATAATAAATTTAAAAACAGTAACTTTATTTAAGCGGGGAGAACAATTTTCAGTTAGTACTATGAAAGTGATTTATTTATTTATTTATTTATTTATTTATTTTTTGAGATGGAGTCTTCCTCTGTTGCCCAGGCTGGAGTGCAGTGTCACAATCTCGGCTCACTGCAACCTCCACCTCCTGGGTTCAAGAGAGTCTTCTGCCTCAGCCTCCCAAGTAGCTGGGACTACAGGCACGTGCCAACACGCCTAGCTATTGTTTTTTTTTTGTATTTTTAGTAGAGATGGGGTTTCAACGTGTTAGCCAGGATGGTCTCGATCTCCTGACATCGTGATCCACCCACCTCGGCCTCCCAAAGTGCTGGGATTTAGAACAGAAAAGGAACTTTTGATTAAGGCATTTTCTCAACATTAAAACAAGAATATTACTCTTTCATTATAAATGACCATGAAGAAAGAAAATTCCTTGTTAGTTTGTTTCCAAGTCCTACATATATTATAGTCAGGTAATTTGTATAAAAGAAGACATTTTTATTACGGGTGAGATAACTATATTTTGAAAATATATACTAAATAAATATATAGTCACAGAATCATTTATGCATATTTGAAATTTCTTATTCTTTTCTCCTGAGTTTTTATTTGAGTAAATAAGATGGAATAATTATGTAATATATGACTGGGTCATTTGTTAGATCTGAGGTTTGCTTTAGGAATTTTATTTTTGGGATAAACTTGCTTTTTCACTTATTTAGCTTAATAATTTATGAAAAATATTTCTGCTTCTATCACTAACATTATCTCCAGTAATGCCCTTGTTTAATGAAAGAAAATTTCCCTTTAATACTTACAATTAATCTTGCAAGTAAAGCATTGGACTAGAGTCCAAAATAAACATCAAGCTATCCAAATACCTTGTACTTTGAAGAGGGCTACTTGTATTTACTTATCCATTCATCAGTGTCATCATTTTAAGTTCAAACATTGGAATTGTATGTGACTTTTATCTTGGTTATGAAGAATTGCTTTCATTAAGAAATGGATTAACTATGGATGGAATCTATGGATGGAATTAGGCAGCTTCCTGGGGCCAAATGTTATTGAAAATGTATTTTGTATAGAAAAAAATATATACTTTTTAAAAAGATTTAGACTTCTATATCAAGTTAATTAGAGAAACCTCCTTTTCAAAAGCAGTTAATTATAATTAAGGGCAAAATATAAATGTCTACTTTAAATTCCTTAACAAAGAAAACTGATATCTTTGCTTCTAAGTCAACAGATGAAAAGATGAAAAAAATGTGGAAACTTTATTTGAATGGATTGATTCAAGACACATTTTAAAATGCTTGAAAATAGGTTAGGAAGTGTTCAGCTTTTAAAAATATGTCCTTCTGGAAATATTCATTGCTCACTTGCTCAGTGCAATGCAAACTATGAGATAAAAAGTATTACAAAACATAGTCTTAGTCTTTAATAAGCTTACAGTTAACAACAGATGTGTCTTTCTTAATAGAGAAAATAGTGGATTAAGTGTTATGAATGATGTAAACTCAGTTCTACTGGTGTGTAAAGAAGTATTTAATTTTGGCACCAGTGATTGAAGAAGGCTTTATGGAATGACTTCACTCTTGATTATGGAAGTTAATAGTATTTCAAGAGGCAAAAATATGTGAGAAACAGCCCCCCTACCAATAGACAGTGTGATCAAATATTGCAGCAATTAAGATATTAAAAATAATATCTCTGAGCATTTTAATTTGTCAGACACTAGAATGAGATATCATGTCATTTGATCTTCTCAGTAGCTCTGTGAAGTAAGAACTTTACTGTCACAATTTTACAAATAGGGAGACAGGAACAAGTGATAGGTAACTTGTTCACAAAAAACATAACTAGGAAGTATCAGATCAGAGATTTAACGTCTGACAGAGCCTATGATCTTAATCATTTATCAGTATAAAGGGGTTGCAATAAACTATCACCCAAGAATGTAATAATAAGGGCTAATCTAATAGAGAACATTTACTATATCCAGCCTCTGTTCTAAGTGTTTTACATGTATTATCTCGTTTACTCCTCATAATAGCCCTTTGTAGTAGTTATTATTTTATTATTATTATTTTTACAAATGAAAAAGCTGAAGTAGTGGGAGGTCAGGTAACTTCCAGTAAGTGGAGAAGCCCCAATTCAAATATGAATGATCTCTTCCTGTCCTTGCTTTCAGCCATGAAGGTATTTTAACATTATAGATATAAGAATAAGATTAATTTCCAACAGATTGTGAAATAAAAAGTAAGTGTATAAATTACATAGAATCATTTTCAGTAAAGTGACTTCAAGCCCTCAGAATTCCAACATACTAATGCCAAGGGAAAATACTATATGTCAATTAGGAAGGTTTACTTATTATTGAAAGCATGGAAATGAGAAAGTCATTGGGACAAAACAGGCTGACCTATCTGTAACAGAAATAGCTGCCTTCTCCTTGTGGGCAAAAGTAGAAATATTGCAACCTCAAATAAATCATTTTTTTGTCGGATTAATGCTTCTGGCCCAGTAAAGGTTTATGCAGAAATTTGAGAAAGCCACCTGGCTTTTTAAGGTAAACTCTGATGGCTCTCAAACTTTGTTTACCTGCCTGGCTCAATAACTGTTCTTTTTTCTTTGCAAATAGAATACCAAATTTGAGAGTGCAATATTCCTGGCTGAAAATCTGTAGTCCCGGGATATCTTACAGCTAACTTTTGTGATGTAATGCTGTCAGAAATTGTAAAAGGTTGGGAATTTTATCCTATTTGCAAGCTAGCAAGTTAGCCTGCATCACTTTCATGGATGCTGGTGGAAAATACTAGGCTTTTAGATTGTATAGAGAGACTTTATTACTCATGGTACAGCAAGCAGCATGACCCTCATAGTAATGTCTGTTTCTGTTGCCCTCAAGTTCCACAAAACAATGTGGAGCAGTTCAAGTGAATACCCTATGTGTAATGGGCTTGTATGGCAGCTGAGAAACCCTGAGCTTGGGGAATCCATGTGTCTTGTTCCCTAATAAGAATTCCTGTTTTCAAAATGTGTAGTAACACAGGAGACCTATGGAGAATTGTCTCCCAATAATGTAATAGTCACATTCTTTCTACAACGTTGTTGGCTAATAGTAAATTTCCCCCGTGAGATTGCCACTCCTCTAGTTAATCTGAATGGTGGGGATTGCGATCAAATCCATTCAGTTTTTCTCATCTGTATTTATTTAAAGAGACTATAAACAGGACTTTAATGAGCAGGATTGATCTCAACCATGCCCACCAGGGTCCTGGACCCAGTCAGCTGAACAAATACTATGAACCACTGAAGTTTACTTTAAAAAGCCAGGCGGCTCTCTCCTTAAGTTTCTGCATAAACCTTTCCACTTGGCGAGAAGCATTAATTTAGATACAAAAGGATTTATTTGTGGTTACAAAGATTCCACCATTGCCCATAGGCAAAACCTATCACCTATAAATACCCTGGCCAGTGAGTTGAAGCTGACCTGAATGAATTCCAGAGCTGAAGTGGTGCCATTGATTGCTTCAGTGAAATTCAGGGAAAAAATTTATAATGGATGAATCCCATAGTAGGATAAACTGCCCACAGGATTCACAGATATTGCTCCATGTAGCTCCCATAAATAAATAAAGGTAGCCTCACTTTGGAGAGATCTCATTAGTGTACTATATTATCTTCTGCTGATCTTTACTTAAACAGTTGAAAATTTCTTATGGCTACCCTAATGTTCAAATCATGTGTCTTCAGAAGGGTGGTAATCTTCATACAAAAGTTATAGTACTGGAAGTGGGCCTGGTTTGCCTGAGTTGGTGGAGGGAAGGGTTAGGCCCAATTTCAGGAACCCGCTGGGTGGAAGACAAACAAATATTACCTCCTATGTGACCTCCTCGCCCTCTGGTAACGCCAGGTGTTCTCAATTACTAGAATAATTCAGTCCAGTTCTTGTTTAAGAGAGACTTTGTGAGAGTAGTTGATTAGGTCCGTCCTCATTGTCTACTCCAGGGGTCAGCAAACTACTGTTGGGCTTGAAATCTCTTTTTGTAAATAAAATTCCATTGGAACTCAGCCATGTTCATTTATTTGCCTTTTGTTTGGCTGCTTTTAAGCTACAGTAGCAGAGTCCTGCACTTGTAACAAAAGCAATATAACCTAAATAACCCTGACATATTATTATCTAGCCCTTTAAGGATTGTTTACCAATCCTTGTTTTATGCCATCAGTTTAGTGGCTTTATTACCACCCGATGTAATGAGTGAGAATAGTGGCAGAGAAGGTATTTAGAGGTATTGACAAGCATTCTGCATAGGAGTGGCAGATGCATCCTGTGCTATTTTCAGTAGACTTATTTCTAAGAATAAAAGAATGGCGATCAAGTCGTGAATAGAGCCATCTGGTAAGAAAAGGCAAGTCCAACAGTCAGTGAAGTTTAAGACACTTATCCTAGTTTGGATGTTCTGTACCAGAGAGTTTTCTTTCATGGAGAATACTCCAGAAGTCATTTTGAAAGACAAATATCATTAACATCTGTCCTTTCCCCATAATTGTAGGGGTCTGTGAATGTTCCCTTCTTATTTGGTGCTCTCCCTCTACCTCCAGCAAATTGGTGTATTTCATCCTAATAACTGTGATGTCATCTTTTTTCTCAATTATTTCCTGTTTGCACATAGACTTTTTATAAAAAATGGTGCAAGAGCTACAAGGACATTTTTATAAAACTTACAGAGACTGATTGTGTCCCCCACTTTGGCCTGCATGAACAAGCTGTGTCCTCACAAAGTGCTCATTATCCTTATGATCCAGAATCATATCAATAAAACAAGAAACTCCAGGAGACTGAAACATAATTGAGTCCAAATCCCATAAGCTCCGTTTAGGCAAGGCTGCCACACAGGCTGCTCTGGGGAAAAAGAAAGAAGTGTTTTGCCCAGAAAAGGTCAGAATGAAATTTTGAAATTAAAAGTAGGTGTAGGTAATCCCACACGACTTTCATGTTGATCATTGCACAGAAATCACCCAAGATGATATTATTTCTTTCTTGGAACATATTCATAAAGTGAACAAGCAGCCTCACTAAGGTATATGAGCCAGGAAAAGGTGAAGAAGATAAAGCTGGACATCTTTTGAAGTCAACATTTGAGGAGATTGTTTCAACACTCAACAACACTGGAAGTCTGTTGATGGTAGAGAGCGAGGAAGATACGCTGAGTTCCTTGACTACCAGGCCATTGTTGAGCATCTTTTGCATACATTTGTCAGGCTGAAAATGGTCCAGTGAGCTGAAAACATGACGCAGATTAATTTTAAGAGCTTCTAAAGTAGTGTCTACATCAGCTGATCAGACTGGAACAATAATAACACGACCTAAAAAAGTATCTACAACACTTTCAGGCAGTCCTAAGAAGTGATCAGAGGCCAAAATAGTCAATGTGCTTGCAGTGGGAGTGGACAACCCTCTTTGGCTTTCCCTACTAGGATACAAGGGGTCAACTTTCAGCAGGAATCACAAGTATTGCATACAGTGCAGGCCCTGGTAACAGAAGTTATTTGCTTTGTGTCCCATCTGTGAATGGTAGACACGGTAAATGGTAGATCATGTCAGGCAGCAATGGTGGCAATCTGTGTGTCTGTCTCAATAATCAGCTTGAGTCCAGTTGATCTGATCAGTTAATGGACTTTCACTATGGGTTTCTCCATGAGTAACCCTGATGTAATCTTGATATACTTCCACAATTCACAGCTCCAAAGAGTGGTATCTTTAATGTTACTACTCTGTAGTTCTCTAAGTGGCATACCAAACCACTAAGCTGTTGACAACAGATCAGCAGTCATAATGTGTATATATACATATATACATACACACACAAACACACACACACACATATATATGTGTACCATGGAGGAGAGTATTGTACAGAGCTATGAGAACAGGCTTCAGTTCTGCCCACTTAGCAGAGTAAGCATGTCCATTTTCAGTACTGCATAGCAGGTGCTGAGCTTGAATGACCTAAGCAAACTACAACGAACACTTTCAGATTTCAGGTCAGCAAAGTCATCACCATTTGTTTATGGAACTTCTGCATCTCACGGCCCTTTAGAGTCAGCACTTAGCTTCAGGAGGTAAAGTCTTCTAAAGGAAGAATTTGATTTTGATGTGCATGCTTGTTGGCCCCTGCACATATTACTAGTTGCTGAATTCGAAGTGACCCTCCTCAAGATAGGAATGTCAGGTCATTCATAGATCAGGCTTTCGGTTTCAGTTAAGAGTCCATTAGAAAGCTAATAGCTGCTTTTCAAAATGGATGTACCTGGTAGCCATATTTGGGGAGCACCAAGTCCATAATCCCAAAGTGAGTCTCTAGGAGGGGCTTCTTCTCTTCAGCAGAGGTCCCAACTGGCATAGTCATTAGTCAGAGTCAGAAATGCCCAGAGTCCAACATAGCGATAGGGATCTCTTTCTGGGGAGAGAAGAAGCATGTCTCTATGTGACATTATTCCCAATAAGGAAAATCTCCTTGAATATTTGTGAAGTAGGAAATTAGAAGCATATAACACATGAATTCCAATTATATACTCAATGTAGGAAGCAACAACAGTATATTAAGTTGGTATAAAGGAACCCAGCTACATGTCACGTGCCTTTCCCTCTCCCACTGAAACCCCCACCAAATAGTTGAATCTGAGCATTTTCCCCTCTTCCCCCAGGGCTGGATAGGTGCTATATCCGACAAAGCCATAGAAGTCTGAGTCCCTCCCTTCCCCAAGATTTCTCAGAATATTGATACGTGCCTAGGGTGTTTAGTCTCTCTTATGGCAAGAATCCTTCTTTTAAGGCAGCTAATGCCAGGGAAAAGGGGAAAGGAGGGGAAGGGATTGTGGATCCAGAGACCTATTGTACAGCAATAAGCAAGGCACTTTCTGTTTCAAGTAGCTACTATCAAGTTCAACCAAGCAAATCTGGTTTTGGTCTACTCCAAGCTCTATATCTTCATGGGTAACACCATTTATTTCAGCTCAGACTGATTCTTTCACTTTTTATTTTTTTAACTTTGATAGTTGAAGGAATATCTCTGTATGAATATTATAGAAAAAAGGCCTTCCAATATTTCCAAGCGTTGAAGAATGATTGTGTTTGTGTTAAAACCTTGAGTGGCACTTGCTTCAGGAAAAAAAGGGTGTTTATTTGCTTTCTATTAAGGTTCTTTAAAAATTGGTTGGAATAAATGCTAGTTGAATTTATACTTCATGACTTGAAAAGCAAGCTGATTTTCATTCTGCCTTCTCAAGGAGTGCAGTATGTTTAAAATACTACTTTTGCCTGCTTTTTGATTTGCTATGAAAAAGATAAATATTTTAAGGACACCTGGAAAATTTTGAAATACATTTTATATGCATATGGAGATTAAAGCTAAGAGACTAAAAAAAAGTCATTCTTTATTTTGGTTAATTTTGTTTTGTTTTGTTTACTATGGCACTCAGTCCAGTATTCTCTCTGCATAGTTATAATGCAGCCTTGCTAATGTAACCAGAATAACTCTTCATTGATAATGAGAAATTAACAGCTGAAAAAAATCAATACCATAAATAGGTAATATAATTTTAATGAAAGGCGACAATCTGAAGGCTGGATATTGAATTAGTATCTGGAGAGTGTGTGCATAGATGATTGGGGGAAGGAATCCTAAACATCAGTCTTCCTCACAGTTACATTTACATGCATGAGAAACAGGACTCCTACTTACACTAAGATTAAACCTAATTAGTATCTATGTAGAAAAGAGTGAAGATGGGAAAACAAAGATAAATGTGAAGAGAAAATGACTGATAATTAGCCAAAATTGAATTAAAGACATCAATTCACTGAGCCCCAAGCATAAGTAACTACAAATAAATAAATAAGCAAATTAATTAATTAATTAATCAAGTTGATGTTGGTATTTGAAAAAAGAAAAGCTTAAATAGCAAGAAATTAAACTTCTACCTTTAGAATATAACAAAATAAGACTATATTAAACACAAAGTGTAAGAAAATAAAAATAAATGGAAATAAAACAGAAAACAAAATGAGAAAGTTAACAAAGTCTAAAATTATTAATTTTTAGGAAATATTTTGATAAAACACTAGCAAGACCATTTTTAATTTTTTTTTAAGATTATACTTCAAGTTCTGGGACACATGTGCAGAATGTGCAGGTTTGTTACATAGGTATACATGTATCATGGTGGTTTGTTGCGCCCATCGACCCATCATCTACATTAGGTATTTCTCCTAATGCTATCCCTCCCCTAGCCCTCCACGCCCTGACAGGCCCCGGTTTATGATGTTCCCCTCCTTGTGTCCATGTATTCTCATTGTTCAACTCCAGCAAGACCATTTTTAAAAAATACACACAGAAAACAAAATTTGCCAGTATCAGAAATTAAAAAGAATACATATCCTCCACACACAAAAAATATTCTACTGGAAATTCTAACACTGAAATAAAGCAAAGAATAAAACACAAAGAATTTGAAAAGGAAGAAGCAAATATGTCTTTATTTCTCAATACATAATAATGCACATAGAAAATCCTATGAAATCTAAAACTTATAATTTAATTAGTAAGCTTATAGCCTATATTCGCAAGTAATTGTATTTCTTTCTAATAGCAATAAAAAATTAAACCTGAAATAAAACATAATATCAAATACCCAGAAATAAATCTGCAAAATTTTGCAAGACATTTACGCTAAAAATTATGAAACATTGACCAAGAGTATTTAAAGAAGAACTAAATAATGGAGAGATATATGTTCATGATTTTCAAATTTTAGTCTTAAGATATCCATTTTTCATAAATTGATTTATAGATTTAATAATCAAAAATCTTAAATTTTTAAATTGTTTTTAGAGCCTTTTGAAGAAATTGATAAGCTGATCCTAACATTGTGTAAAGATCTTATATAGCCGCAACAATTGAAAGAGCAAAGAAAAAGATTGGATGAAATATTTTACCTGACTTCAAGGCTTTTTTGATATTGGCATAAGGATTGACAAATAGATTCATGGGACATAATTAGGAGTCCAGAAATCAACCCACAGGCATAGAGTGGGGTTGATTGTTAACCAACATGCCAATCAATTCAGTGGTGAAATGTTTAAGCAACATTGCTGAACCAATTGGGTCCCTGTATGGAATCAAAACAAAAATAAATTTTACTCTCATCTCTCACTACACACAAAAATTAATTCAAGATTTATCACATACTAAAACTAAAACCTTAGAATTAGAACTCTTTTAGAGGAAAACATAAGACATTATCTTCATAACTTCAGGATATATAAAGATTTCTTAGGTACCAAAAAGAACATTTTGGACTTTCTCAAAATTAAAACGTTCTGCTCATTAACATACAACATTAAGAAATAGACAAACTATGAACTGTGCAATAAATTCTAAAACATAGATCCGAAAAACGTATAAATATGTGAAATATGTAAAGTGTTCAAAGAATACACATATTTAAAAACTCTTAAAAAGCACCAGTATGAAACCAAAAACAATTTTAAATGGGTGAAAGCCTTGTCCAGACCATTCACATAAGAAGATATATAAATGGCAAATAAACTGTGCAACTTTATTAGTCCACAGAAAAATGCAAATTTAAATTACAAGGAGATGCCAATCTGCATCCACTAGATTGGCTGAAGGCAAAGACTGACAATCCAATTGCACCTCTGATACTTTGCTGGTTGGAATGTAAAACATACAGCCACTTAGGAGAGCTGTTTGGCAATTTTTTACCAAGTTAAATATCTACTTACCTTGTATACCTCACCTATTTCACTCCAGAAAAATGAGAATGTATAGCCACACGAATTCTTGTACAAGAATATTCATAGCAGCATTATTCCTCATATCCAAAACTGGAAGCAACTCTAATGCCCATCATTTTGAGAATGGTTAAATTAATTTTCATACAGTAGAATACTATTGAGCAAAATAAGTAATGAACTATTGAAATATGAAGAAACACTGAGTTAAGTGAGAAAAGACTCACATTTATAAATGAGTAATACTGTATGATTCCATATATTTTAAGTCCAGTAAATACAAAACTAAGCTATCGTGGTCAAAATCAGACAGTGGTCACATCTATGTGTCTGGGGTAGATTGTCTGGAAAGCGACACAAAATAACTTTTAGTGGTAATGGAAATATCCATTATCTTGTTTTGAGTGATAGTAACAGTGGAATACAATAAACAATCTGTTAAGCATTTAAGATCTGTTTATTATATGTAAATTAAACTTCAATAAAAAATTACAATATAGAACAACCCATCAAATATTTGAAGACAAAAAAGGTAAAGGAAAGGAAAAAGGAAAAAAAAACAATTTACAGAAATATCATAATTTTAAACTAAACACATAATTGAATCATGATGATTTAGAGATTACTGAGTCATAAAAAAAAGGTGAGAATTTAATTTGGTGGCCACTGGGAACCCAAATTTGAAAGTATATTAGAATCTCTAGAAGAGCTTTTTAGTAATTGGAATGCCTGGGCCTCATTCCAAAACCATTCAATCAAAATTTTGCAGGGTGCATAGCAACATATATATATATTTAAAACTCCACAGGTGCTTCTGATAAGCCAGCTTTGTTCCTTGATGAGGCATCTGGAAACAGCAAATTTCAACAGGTCTCTTCTTCCACATCTTTGATTGACAGTTCTGTTTCCCCTGCCAGAAAGACTCCAAGCGATGCAGAATTCGTTACTTTTTGATGCAGCTTTTTTCATTTTTAGACATTGGACATTTCTAGTTGTCAAAAAGTACATATGAAACTGAAAACACACACATTGATCAAAATGAGCCATTTTCTGGAATAATATTAAATAAGTAGTCTGTTTTGCTTATAGTCGTTTATCAATAAGTAAATAAAATGATACCTCTCTAAACTTACCCTAGATGTCTACTGCATAAGCACCACAAGCAGTTTACCATTTTTGAATTTGATGTTAATTTCAGATATCTCACCTTTCTAAGTGGCTTTATCCCTTGCTATTCTAGTTTTTCCATCTCTCTGTATGAGAAGATAAGACCTGACATATTTACTGATTACAAAATATGCCACGTGTTGTCTTGTTGCTGTAGAGAGATGTGAGATATTTACCTCTTTTTAAAATACAAAGCACTTGTACTGTGTTTTCTTTATCATAATTTTTGCTTTTCAATTTTATGTTTTACCTTCATTGTGTTAATGATATTGACCAACCCTTCCAATTTTGCATTGTTCTCAATTGGCTTAACATGCTAGTCATGATTTCAACCAAATGCCTTCCAAGAGGAGGCATTGTCAAACAGGTGGATTATGGTATTGAAAGAGGCTCATTAAAGGCAATTGGCAGTCGTTCCAGGCAGACTCACCATCAGAGAGGTCTAAGCAAAGAATTAAGACAGATATATCTGACAATGGCTAGATGCCATAATAAAAGAGTCTTGCAACTGAAATAATACAGAAACCAGAAAGTTATAAGAGGAGGTGCTCGTCAGAATAGAAAAATAGTAGGTAAATTGTTTTAATGGAATTATTCTCTTTTGAGAGTACTGATGAGAGAAACATTAAATTTCAGGGCTGGAAAAGCTGGGTAGAACTGATTTACTAGAATGAAGCAAACAGTAAGGTTGATAATGTGCTCTTCATCAAATGAGCTACTTGAGTTATTTAAGTTTCCTTGCCTAGTAACAATAACAACCCAATATTGGGATGGATATATTGGTAGATCTATTAGAATGGATTCAGCTGTAGAGATTGGAGGGCTACTTCAATGACAGGGAGCTAAACAGTTTATTATGATAATGATGCAGGTACATGAACTTAATGAAAATAGTTATTCTCTTACCATATCCTCACCTCTACTTCTATTCATGTGTTGGCTTCATTCTCAGTCAAGTTAGCAGACTCTGGTGACCTAAAGCATATCCTGACAGATGATTGTATTAAAGAAAGATCATTTCCTGTGTGTGTGTGTGTGTGTGTGTGTGTGTGTGTGTGTGTATGATACACATAGGGATTTTTATCCATACATCAAATACTACATGTTGTTTGGGTCCTTTTCCATTCTTAAACCAAATAATTTGGTCAAGTATATGGAGGGCTCTGAGTTACCACCCTGAGTTACATGATGACTCTTTGGTAGAAGGGTGAAGGGTAGGCATACATATACACATGTACCTCCTTTTTTGGTTTGAAAGCAATCTTACTTATAAGAAAAATTAAGGAAACTATAATTGTTTTATTATAATTCATTATTTTAAAATCCCTTTTAGAACATACCCTTTGAAAGTTTAGTTTATATTTATTTGTTTCATTTTGTTTTGGTCAGCTAAAAATTATTTTATGGTCTTAACCTTTCTGTTATTTTTCTTATAGTTTCAGGATAGCCTTTACTATTCTGCAACAAGGTTGGTGGTAACCTTATATAAATCTCCACTGTAATTTGTTAAACTAATTTTGAAAATCAGAGACCTAGATATGCATAATAAGTATTGACAAAATATCTTAGCATGGAAATGGCTGTATCCAGTATGCTGGGTAGATATGTACACTTTTTGTTACCCATATGCACAAAAACAAAGAAAAAAATCAACTTTATGGATGAATCAGAGGGTTATTTATGGGCTCCACTGCATACTGAAAACATTGATTTAATGTTTTCAAACTAGAGTCAGTACATAGTCTAGTGATCTAAACTACTTAAGCACCACTCTTCACCGTATCACTCTTTACTTACAATTTAATTGCCATGTGTTCTTTTGAAATGAGCATTGAAGGACCATCCTCATGAATGCATTCCTAAGAATCACAATGTTTATTCTGTGTAGTCTTGATGTAGGTTTAATCAAGACCCTTGAAATGGACACATTCCTCTTAATTGATTGCAAATGTTTATGATTACCCAGAGAGTGTTTTCAAATGTCTGATGACTATAATATTACTGACTTTCTCTCTAGACAGTCTTAAAGCTGTTTATTGCTCATTTGGCTACTTTCCAGCTTTCAGTTGTCTCATTTACTTCCATGTGCATCAATAAGCATATAATTAATCCAAACATCTTATTGAACCATTTCCTTTGCATTAGTATATATGATGTTAAGTAGGTAAAATTTATATATTCTACTGCTTTGGATTTATTCATAAGTAAAATGTTCTTAACAAATATTGATCAGCATCAATGTAAAGATGCCTCTTATACTGAAATATTATGATCTCATGCTCAGATCACAAGCTATTATCAAATAGAAATTCAATCTCAGTGATGGGCCACTGTTGCCAGATCGTGTCACCTCAGAAATCTAGTATAGCATATAATTATCTTTATTTTTTAAATACAAAGTAAAAATGCAGCACAAATGCCAACAAAATAATAAATGACTCAAATTCTTTTTGAAGTGAAGTTTTTTCTAAGCAAGATTTTTTAAATGGCTTATGGTTAAAAGTTTTATTTTCTCAGGAAGCAAGCCATTTATAAAGTATGTTTTGCTATTCACGTGTTGGGAAAAGTCTCTTCAGCTCAATGATGTATCTCATATATCCAGCAGTATGACATACTCCTTCCTATTTTTAAAAAAAGCCCAAGGTTTCAAATATTAATTTTAATGCTTGGCATTCTGCCATAATTTCAGAAACACCAAGACTGGCTGAATACAGTACTGAAGCCTTTTTCTACTCCAAGTGAGGTCTTAAAATGTATTACATGATTAAAAAGATTAAATGTGCCTAATCTACACAGAGGAGGAAGAAATGAGTAGAGGAAAAAAATAAGACACAAAAACTTAGTGACATATCTCTTTTCCTATTGAATTCAATATTTTAAAAGTGATATTTCAAAACAATAATCAGACTGAGAATTACTATTTTATGTATTCCAGAGAATGCCACTAAATTTTGTTAAATTGCAACTGTAGTTTGGAAAATGAGTAGTATTGCAGGATACCTCTATCTGTAATACAGTCTGTGGTATCATCAGATGGTATAGATAATATACTCCATGAGGGCAAGAACTGTTTTTTGTTTTGCTCAACATTCTCTTCCAAGTACCTCTCACAGTGCTTGGCACATGGTAAGCAAAGACTTGAAACAGATTTATTTGTTTATGTTTCTTAAATTTTTAACATTGATACATATGACATGTACATATCATATTTTCAGGGTACATATGATAATTTGATAAATTCATGTAATCAAATCAGGGTAGTTGAGATATCCATCACCTTAAATATTTATCTTTGCAATAGCAGCATTTGAATTATTTTCTTTTAGCTATTTTGAAATGTACAATCAATTGATCTTAACTATAGTCATCCTACTGATTTATTGAACACCAGGTCTTATTTCTTCCAAGGGTATATTTTTACCCATTAATAAACCTCTTTCCATTCCCTTAACCCCTCTACCCTTCTTGGCCCCTGGTCATCACCAGTCTGCTCTCTATCTTCATGAATTTCACTTTTATATGTTGAGAAATATCTGCTTAGATGCTGACCACTGGTATGGAATGAGCAATACCGTGTCATATTTCTGATTAAAAGCCTTTTTTGGGGTCAGTTTAGAAATATACATTAAATTCTAATATTTCCTAGGATTTTTTCCTACCCTAATCTACTTTAATATAAACCATTTTAGTAGAGAGATTAAAATTAATCTTACTTTACAGATGATAGTAAAGTCATTATTTTACGTGATTTAATAAAATGAATCATTAAGCTTCAATCAGCCACTACCTCTTGGAGGATTGTTGTGGGAAACTGGCCTAAATAAGTAACACAATACAGATATCTGAGAAATTGATGGTTGCTAGAATGTTATAGACATCAACTTTTAGTTCCTATCAATATTTTATTCCATTTTCCTATTAAACAATGGCAGAATAAAATCAAGATAAATGTTGTTATTAGCATTATCACATTAAAATATCATTTCCTGTTTAAATGTTAATTTCTTCCACTAAACTGGAAGCACCTCAAAGACAGGAACTGAGCCTTCATCTTCCTTATCAAAGTATCAGATGTTTGCTTTAAAAAAAAATGTATTAATCAAGACCCTTTCTCTTACAAATAGCAGAAGTTTACTTCAAAATAGCTTTTTTAAAATTGACTCATGTAGTTTGAAAGTCTAGGGAACAGCTGCCTTGCCTCTGTTTCACTTTAGTTACTTTCACACTAGACATGTTGGCTCCTGCAATCGCAAAACTACTGCATTGGGACAACTTGTGATACACAAGAAAGACCACTTCTTCTGATTATCCATATTTCACATTTCAGTCTTCACTGTAATTTGTTAAACTGTTTCTGAAAATTAGAGACCTAGATATGCATAATAAGTATTGACAAAATATCTTAGCATGGAAATGACTAAATCCAGTATGCTAGGTAGATATGTACACATTTGTTACCCATATTCACAAAAACAAAGAAAAAATCAACTTTAGGGATGAATCAGAGGGTTATTTATGGGCTCCACTGCATACTGAAAACATTGATTTAATGTTTTCAAAGTAGAGTCAGTACTATCCCTTAAAAAATTACTTAGGCCAGAGGACATGGAGAGTTCGAACTAACCAGCCCAGGACACATGACCATCCAGCAATGCAACCTAGAGAGTTGGGCACATGTAGAAAACAAGGGAGGCATCCAGATTTATTTCTTAAATGAAAAGTGGCATCTTGTTGTTTGAATAAAGGAAAAGAAATATTGGGAAGATTAAAAATAAAAGACATCAACTACTTAGCCACCAGTATAACCCTGTTAACTTAGAACTATGATTCTAAGTTAACAGGGTTATACTGGTGGCTAAGTAAGAATCCAAACCTAGTTTTCTTACACCAAATGCAGTGTGTTTTCCCCTAGATAAAGTTGTTTTCTAAATGAAAGATGGAAATGTTGACTGCAAATGATTTATAAAGGCTTTACATATCATCAAAGCACCCTGAAAACCAAAACAGTAACTTTTGACTTGATAAATGTAAGGAAACATTCAGGATGAACTCTGTCCTGTGCCACCAAAATCCCCCTTCAAAACTGAAGACTGTCTTCTCCCAAATGCTGAGAGGGCTTGCCGCTGACTACCTTCCTTATGAATTACCCTCCGCTTAGGGGAACCACCTCACCAAAGGACACACAGGGGTGTAAAATTCCTCCTTCCACCAGCGCTAACTTGGGATAACTCTGAAGACCATCCCACTTCCAGAGCTCCCTGCAGGTCTTCGCTGAGACTGCATCGTAGCCTCCCTCTGCTGGCTCTTTCTTGTTCCCTTCCCTTGGGGCACAGTGTTATTCCCGAGAGCAGTCCCTGATAGCCTCTCTAGTCTCCAATCTCTACCCCAGAGTCGGCTTCCTGGGAACCTAACCTTCTACAGTTAATCTGCTTTTCTTAGGCCTGAAGGACAATTAAATAGTAACTAAAACAATGAAAGGTTTTCAAGGGAAAGTATTTATGTGTTTGCTATCTTTTTATCTAAAATTTTCCTCTATTTTTAAACAAAACCTCACATTACTTTTTAGCATGGAAATGTTTATACCTTACCCTCTTATACAGTCTGGATAAGAAAAAAAATCACTAACATCAGGGACGATATGCTTATCCAGGTTCTCCAATAACTACTTTTAAGGGAGGCAAGCAGAGTTGACTAAGAGATTATAATCTTGGCAGTGTGCAGAATGTTTTCAGTATGTGCATTTACTGAGAGGAGAGAGAATTCATAATCTTTGATTTTCTCAAAAGAGTCTGTAACACAAAGAAGGTTAAGAAATTGGAGCACTGGTTCCCAAATAGTCTCTTAAGAAGCATCAAGTGAGAGAAAATCCCTTGTTTTTTTTTTTTGTTTGTTTTTTTCCTGAGCGTTTCTGATCCCATAGAAATGGGATTGAGCAAAAATCTTCATTTTTTTTTTTTTTTAAGTTTCAGCTTTTACTTTAGGTACAAGGGGAGT
The DNA here is from genome assembly GCF_000001405.40 of Homo sapiens. NCBI lineage: Eukaryota > Metazoa > Chordata > Mammalia > Primates > Hominidae > Homo > Homo sapiens. The sequence continues at coordinate 93,103,962 of NC_000004.12, forward strand.
GTGTGTAGGTATGTTACATGGGTATATTGCACCCAGGAAGTAAGCATAGTACCCAATTCATTTTTCAGCCCCCAACTTTCTCTCCCCGGCTAGTAGTCTTTGGTGTCTATTGTTCCCATGTTTATCTCCAAGTGTAGTGTAATGTTTAGCTTCCGCTTATTAGTGAGAACAAGTGGTATTTGGACAAGTTTTCCAGATGACTCCAAAATAAAACTCAGTGGATTACAATTTGGAAAAATACAGACTTATGGATGAAAATATAGTTCTATGTTAGTTTCTATTGCTGGTGTATCAAATTACCACAAATTTAGAGGCTTAAACAACACAAGTTATTAATAGTATTTTTTATTTTATTATGATTATACTTTAAGTTTTAGGGTACATGTGCACAATGTGCAGGTTAGTTACATATGTATACACGTGCCATGCTGGTGTGCTGCACCCATTAACTCGTCATTTAGCATTAGGTATATCTCCTAATGCTATCCCTCCCCACTCCCCCCACCCCACAACAGTCCCCAGAGTGTGATATTTCCCTTCCTGTGTCCATGTGTTCTCATTGTTCAATTCCCACCTATGAGTGAGAACATGCGGTGTTTGGTTTTTTGTCCTTGCAATAGTTTACTGAGAATGATGATTTCCAATTTCATCCATGTCCCTACAGAGGACATGAACTCTTCATTTTTTATGGCTGCATAGTATTCCGTGGTGTATATGTGTCACATTTTCTTAATCCAGTCTATCATTGTTGGACATTTGGGTTGGTTCCAAGTCTTTGCTATTGTGAATAGTGCCGTGATAAACATACGTGTGCATGTGTCTTTATAGCTACATGATTTACAGTCCTTTGGGTATATACCCAGTAATGGGATGGCTGGGTCAAATGGTATTTCTAGTTCTAGATCCCTGAGGAATCGCCACACTGACTTCCACAATGGTTGAACTAGTTTACAGTCCCACCAACAGTGTAAAAGTGTTCCTGTTTCTCCACATCCTCTCCAGCACCTGTTGTTTCCTGACTTTTTAATGATTGCCATTCTAACTGGTGTGAGATGGTATCTCATTGTGGTTTTGATTTGCATTTCTCTGATGGCCAGTGATGATGAGCATTTTTTCATGTGTCTTTTGGCTGCATAAATGTCTTCTTTTGAGAAGTGTCTGTTCATGTCCTTTGCCCATTTTTGATGGCGTTGTTTGTTTTTTTCTTGTAAATTTGTTTGAGTTCATTGTAGATTCTGCATATTAGCCCTTTGTCAGATGAGTAGGTTGCGAAAATTTTCTCCCATTTTGTAGGTTGCCTGTTCACTCTGATGGTAGTTTCTTTTGTTGTGCAGAAGCTCTTTAGTTTACTTAGACCCCATTTGTCAATTTTGGCTTTTGTTGCCATTGCTTTTGGTGTTTTAGACATGAAGTCCTTGCCCATGCCTATGTCCTGAACGGTAATGCCTAGGTTTTCTTCTAGGGTTTTTATGGTTTTAGGTCTAACGTTTAAGTCTTTAATCCATCTTGAATTAATTTTTGTATAAGGTGTAAGGAAGGGATCCAGTTTCAGCTTTCTACATATGGCTAGCCAGTATTTTTTAGATCACAAGTCTGAAATGGAATCTCAGTGGGCTATAATCAGTGTCAGCAATGCTGTGTTCTCTGGTGGCTCTAGGGAAGAGTCAATTTCCTTGCCTTTTCCACCTTCTAGAAACAACCCACCTTTCTTCACTCAAGATCTCTTTCCCCCATCTTCAAAGCCAGCAGTCTTTCATCTCTCTGAAGATGCTGAGTCTCAACACATTCTTCAGGAGTTAGACCTCCCTTTGATGCTCCTGTTCTGTCTCCCTCTTCCAATTTTAAAGACTGTGATTACACTAGAGCCACCCAAATAATATGGGATAATCTCCCTATTTTAAGATCAGACAATTAACAGCTTTAATTCTATCTGCAGCCTTAATTTGTCTTTGTTGTGTAATCTAGTATATTCACAGATTACAGGGATTAACATGTGAGCATTTTGGGGAGACCAATATTCTGCCTACCACAAGTTCCTTTATAGTGTCATGGAAAAAACATCTTCCTCCTCCCCCAGTCTTATGTTTAATAACTCAATTAATGAGCCTTCCACCACCTGTTGTTATGTAATTATCTGGTCAGTAGAAGAAATTACTGGAAACTACAGAAACTTCTTTTAGCTTTCTGTTATCCATAAATAGCACCTAGTCACACCCACTCACCTGGAAGCACCTTGAGGTCAGGAACCATATATTCTTTATTTTGGAAACACAGATAACTCATCTCATTGGCTGCCAGCTAATCAGCATACAGATAATGTGGCTGAATGATTGTGATGTGTGATGATGTTTGTGTTCATTGAACAAAACCAAAGGCTTACTCTCTTTTATTTTTTATTTTTTTGACATGGAGTCCCCCTCTGTTGCCCAGGCTGGAATGCAGTGGTGCCATCTCGGCTCACTGCAACCTCCGCCTCCTGGGTTCAAGCGATTCTCCTGTTTCAGCCTCCTAAGTAGCTGGGACGACGAGCATGCACCACCACACCCAGCTAATTTTTTGTATTTTTAGCCAGGCTGGTCTGAAACTCCTGACCTCAGGCAATCCACCTGCCTTGGCCTCCCAAAGTGCTGGGATTACAGGCATGAGCCACTGCACCCAGAGTACTCTCTTTTTTAATGACTCTTACACACAGCAGCTCATAAAGAGCATGGCTCTGAATCTTCTCTCATTGAACTTACCAGTTGCCACATATCATGGGTATTTGGTGTCATTTCCTCAAATAAGCAAAACTATTTATGCTTAACTCCTGCATTCCATGAGTCTGCCTTGTAATTTATGCTTGCCATTTTGGGTAGCTAGCCATCAGTAAAATTTAGGCAATCTGGCCTGTTGGTGGGAAGAGTGGTGGTCTCTTAACAAATAGTCATGTTCTTTACTAACAATAAAGGAATTACAATATGTTAGACCCTACACTAGATTTTGTATATACACAGCAAACACACATAGACACTTTTGCAAAATCAATCTTTGAAGACTTCTATAAGATAAATATTTTTTTCTGGGAGTGGTGGCTTATGCCTGTAATCCAAGCACTTTGGGAGGCCGAGGCAGGTGGATCGCCTGAGCTCAGCAGTTCAAATCAGCCTGGCCAACATGGCAAAACCCTGTCTCTACCGAAAATACAAAAGTTAGCCTGGCATGGAGGTGTGCACCTGCAGTCTCAGCTGCTCAGGAGGCTGAGGTGGGAGGATCGCTTAAGCCTGGGAGGTGGAGGTTGCAATGAGCTGATGTCATGCCACTACACTCCAACCTGGGTAATAGAGTGGGACCCTGTCTCAAAAATAAATATAAACAAATAAATTCTTCATTTACAGTTGAGGAGAAATTTTCAAAAAATGTTACAGTCACATATCTAAGAAGTGACAACCAGGATTCCAGTGTTAGGAAACAGAGGGGTTATAGTGGTCTTTTGTCACATCACTTTTCAGTATGCATATCACTCTGATCAAAAATTAAAGCTAAAAAACGTTATATAGTTTCAAATTAAGGATAATTAATTTACTAGATCAATTTATTTATTAAAAAAATTTTTTTTGAGGGGGCATCTCACTCTGTCACCCATGTTGGAGTGCAGTGACACAATCTCAGCTCACTGCAACCTCCACTTCCCAGGTTCAAGCGATTTTCTTGCCTCAGCCTGGGTATGTATTTTTAGTAGAGACGAGGTTTACCATGTTGGCCAGGCTGGTCTCGAACTCCTGGCCTCAAGTAATTCACCCACCTCAGCCTCCCAAAGTGCTGGGGTTTCAGACATGAGCCAGCACGCCCAGCCCCAATTTAAAACATGCAATCAAACACGTCACTTCCAGACTTAAACTGCTTTTCATTCTGCTCACATATCCAGTCATCCACTTAAGGCAGATCCTCTACTTGAAACTTTCAATAGATTAAAGCTGTATTTTGAATAAAATTAAAACCTCTTCCTGTGTCTCACAGAGATCTACATAACCTGACTCTTCCTCTCCATCCAGCTTCATGTCTCACTAGCTAGGCTGCAACCACAGTGGTCTCCTATAGATTTTTGATCCACAGGCTCTTTAATGTCCTGGACATTTTCTGAGCTGTTGCCTTTTCTCCTTATCTATTTGCTTGGATAATGTCTTCTTATACTTTACCTCAGAGTTTAAATACTAGTTTTGCAGAGAAACCTTCCTCTAAGTAAAATATATCCTCCTCCTCACCCTATTATCATCTACCAATGCATTCATTGTTTTCTTCCAAACACTTAGTGTGCTTTGTGGTTTTAGTTTGTTTACTTGTTTATTGTCTGTTTTAATGTTTGAATGGGTATTCATTGATGTGCTCCTAGCTCCTAGTATTGTGTCTAATATTCAACAAATGTTTTTGGAGAACAAGTTTTTTCTCAAAGTGAAAATGTAAACTAGTACTGGTATTTTATTTTTGTAATCAGAAGATTTCACAGAGAATAAGTAATCTGAAACTTTATTCTCTAGTCATGCTCTGTTTTCTGAGCATCTTGGATCTATTTCAGTGTTACTTTTGTTTTGTTTGCCTTGTATTCAGATGTACAATTTAAGTAACTCAAATAAAGAACAACTTACAATTTGAAATCAATAATCTGCTCTGTCTGCTCTGACATGTATTTTTTTTTTCTTTTTTTTTTTTTGAGATGGAGTCTCACTCTGTCACCCAGGCTGGAGTGCAGTGGCATGATCTCGGTTCACTGCAACCTCCACCTCCCGGGTTCAAGCGATTCTTCTGCCTCAGCCTCCCAAGTGGCTGGGACTACAGGCGTGTGCCACCACGCCTGACTAATTTTCGTATTTTTAGTAGAGATGGGGTTTCACCATATTGGCCAGGCTGGTCTCAAGCTCCTGACCTCATGATCTGCCCCCCTCGGTCTCCCAAAGTCCTGGGATTACAGGTGTGAGCCACCACACTGGGCCTCTGACATGTATTCTAAAGGTATATTGGTTCTGGGGTGAGGCCCAAGCTTGTGTATTTTTGATAAGTTTCTCAGATGATTCTGATTCACATCAAAGTTTAAGAACATCTGCTTAGTATGTACATAGTCTTGTTATTGTACCTCTACCAGTGTCAACCAAAGTCCATCAAATTTAACCCTTTGCTTAATTCATGGTTCAGAGTCTTACACCTTTATGTACATTCTGACTTGGATATTGAATGAATACATAACACCTTTATTATTCCACCTCTTTTATCTCATCCTCTGCCCTAGCTGAGGATTTTATTCTTTTAACCTGCTTTGATGGTAACATCCTGAGTTTACCACATAATTAATGATAAGAAATGTAAGATAGAATTTATACAGTATATATGTTGTAAAGATTTTTAAAGTCATCAGATAAGTAAACATATAATATTTACAACTATTTTGAAATGAAAGAATTCAGAAGAAGAAAGCAAAATTGTTGTTTTAGTCAATTTGTAACCTTGCAAATGTAAATGTTTATAAGAGTAAATGTAGTTTCTAAATTTTTGGCTATTTGTTTTCCTGTTCTGTGGTTTTACTTACTGCTTTTTCTGGTTTGTATGTTGAAAAATACATAAATTAACTATTACCACTGAGAGGCAAATTTTACTTGCAGGGAAGCACACACTATTAAGGATTTTGAGATCTAGTCTATTCATAAGTTCCCTACAATCCCATTTACTTGTTTCTCTAGTATTTGCCCTTTAAATATTTTATTCTTTGGATATATAATGAAAAATATAGTTCATGATATAGTAAAAGAAAATCTACTATATTAAGATTATAGCATAATCTATATTAAGCTTGTATTGTGCCAGATACTTATTTCAGATATCTTCTTCTATAAACAAGCAATCTGATACTAAGAAGAAATATTTGTGATATTTCAGACATTTATTGTTACTTAAATACACATCAAAGTACAAATGATAAACTCTTTAGATTGAATTTTACTTTTCTTATTTAAGTGTGACGTGGACACTGGACATTTTAATTTGATAAATTTCTAGAACTTTGCTTATTTTGGAATAAGTATGTAAATATTTTGCTGATCATCATGCAATCAAAAATGTTACTTAATATTTTCTAAAATGCTGAAATATGTTTTGAAAAAATATGTTTTGCACATTAAGTATTTTCTCCTTACTAAGGCAAACTTGGTATCTCCTACCAACTTTTCCAAATTTAGCTAAGGAGGTAATACTAATTAAATAGATTAAAATGCAGCTTTTATTTGTGGTCTAAGTTACCTGAGGCCCTTTGAAGATAACCTTTTGAAACTTTCTGTTTAACTGATAAAAGTCAAGTTTAGTGATACTGTTGCCTATTTTAAGAAACATTCATAATCTTGATTCAGATTCATCAGTCATCAATGATATTCATGCTTACATGAGGTTAATATTACTCTTTAAAATGCTAAGGAAAATAGGGAATGTCTTTCCCTTCTTCTTGTTTTGCTCTAGAGAAATGGGGCATCTCTCCAACCATCTCCGTGCACCCTCACCCAACATTTCTAGGATTGACATCATTTAGGTTCCATGTAGATAGAAAGAAATCCATTTAAAAAATAACAATTCCTACATTTTTCATGTGAACATTTCAAAATGTACCAAACCTTAAACATACTTGAGAGTTCCGTCAGCTACTCAGTTGGTAATTTTAGACAGCCTACAGTGTGGAACAATAATCTATTCTGATATAGGTGAAATAGCTTATGCCTTCCTTCTGTACAATAATTCACAGGTATTTTGATGGGCTTTTGATGTTTCCAGATATCCGTGGAATACAGGAGTTCTTGGACAAAGTCTCTCAGCAGGGAATGGATGTTGCACTTCAGAAGGTAGAAAACAACATCAATAAAATGATTACCACTCTCTTTGACACCATGAGAATAGAAGAACTGAATCGCTATCGAGACACTCTTAGGCGAGCGATCCTTGTTATGAATCCTGCTACAGCCAAATCCTTCATTACTGAGGTAAGTGAAAATTGTCTTGGGGTGAGAGTTGTACAAAACAATTAAAAGCTTTGGAATAGACCCTACAGAGGAGATGAAAATTAAGAGCAGTGCGAGGGAATTAACTACACAATTCTTGTTAACACTAATGGAGGTAGCATAGTGAATGCCTCACTTATCTCATTTACCCCTTACTGTCCAGTTAGTTGCTGAGAGTATTTGTGTTTATATATATTTAGGCACATAGACAGAACAATTTTAAGAAGTCTTATAGAAGTTTAAAAGTGCTGTTGACCTGAATGAATCTGGCAAGATCAAGAATAAATTCACAAGTGCACAGCTCTCTAACTAATCCTTAGTAATTTTTGTAAGTTAAAATTTTACTTCTGAAAAAATAATTACTTGAATCAGGACATTATTGCCTAAACATGATTACTGTTACAAAACATATACAGATTTATATCTTCTCTGTGAACTTTGTACCAACACAAATAATTAAGTGTCTGAAACTCTGTAAAGTGATGACTAGTGTACATTTTATGATGCTGCATCCTCAAATTTTTAATTGTATCTGTTCATTTAGTTAGAAGCTCTGAAACTTAGTAAAAATACAATTAAGACTTTCTAGTGATAGGTATAACATCTCTATGTTCTAAAATGCCTGCTATTGCCTTGTAAAAGTTTATTGTCATGTCTTTTTGCCCCACTTCAAGTTTTTAATGTTACATAGTGATAGAACTGTTCATGACTTTACAAACTTTCACATGGAATTTTTAAAAATATTTTAAATTTGAGGACGGGAATTTATTTGTTTAATACTTTTTTTTTTTTTTTGCCTCATTTCACTATTATGCTTCTGTTAGCTCCTGAAGTACTGCTATAAAGATTCCAAATTAGGAACATGTTAGAAGTTCTTTGACACTCACAATATAGTTGGTATCAAAAAACATAAGGCAGAATATAAATCACTAGGAAGGGTAAAACTTGTGGAAAACTGTCAGTAATATAAAATTTTTCATTTTAATAGGAAACTTCATTATGCAGTTTAAAGACAAATTATACACATTTTACTTTTTGAGTTCAGCAAATGACTTAGAGAATCTTATTGAACTACTACATTTTTTCATAATATAAAATATTTCCAATTTTAAAGAAGTTGGGTCTTTCCTTCAAGAAACACAAATCTGGAAGATGGGAGTGAGTACACAGAGGATGTAATATAAATTAGGATGTTAAAATTGCAATAGAGGCGGTTGAAGCATCTATGGTCATTTTTGTTGGAGGAGATCAGAGAAAACCTCACTGAGCAGGTATATTTGAACTGGACTTCGTGTCATGGGTTAGGAATTTATAAAACAGAAGTGGTAATGATATGGTTTCGCTCTGTGCCTCCACCCAAATCTCATCTTGAATGGTAATTCCCACGTGTTGAGGGAGGGACCTGGTGGGAGGTGAGTGGATCATGGGGGCGGTTTCCCCCATGCTGTTCTCATGATAGTGAGGGAGTTCTCATGAGATCTGATTGTTTAAATGTGGCAGTTTCTGCTGCGCTCTGACTCTCTCCTGCCTCCTTGTGAAGAAGGTGCTTGCTTCTCCTTCCACCATGACTGTAAGTTTCCTGAAGCCTCCTCAGCCATGTGGAACTGTGAGAAAATTAAACTGTTTTCATTTATAAATGACCCATCTTGGGTAGTTCATTATAGCAGAGATAATGCTAGTGTATTCCTTTGCTAGAGCTGCCATTGGCTTAAACAACAGAAAGTTTGCATCTCACAGTTCTGGAGGCTAGAAATCTAAAATCAAGATGTTGGCAAGGTTGATTCCTTCTGAGGGGTGTGAGGGAAGGAACTGTTCTAAGCCTCCCTCCTTGGCTTGTAGATGAATTCTTTTTCCAATGTCTATTCACATTTTCTTCTCTTCGTGTTTGTTTGTGTATCCAAATTTCCTTTTTCTATAAGGACATCAGTCGTTTGGATGAGGGTTCACCCTAATGACCTAATTTTAATTTGATTACCTCTGTAAAGACCTTATCTCCAATAAGGTCATATTCTAAGGTACCGGATATTAGGAATTCAACATATAAATTTGAGAAGGAGGTAGTGATGGCACAACTTTACCCATAACAGTTACCATTAGCTGTTATGAGCAAATAAGGCAGAGGAGTATGTTTGAGAGTTCAATTTGGATCCTGTAAAATTTGAGCTAGCAGTGGATTCTTCAGGTGGTCTTAACTATGTTTTAACACCTTTATAGTACTTACTATCTTCTTACTACTTACTGCTTTCTTTTCTAACACCTTTTTAAAAAATGAACTCATATAATCTTCATAAAAAGCCTTTGAGTTGGTACTAACATCATCCTTGTTTTGTAGATAAGAAAACTGAGGTGTACAGGGTTTAAGTTGTCAAGATGACACAACTAGGAAGAGGCAGATCTGGGATTAATTCCAATAAGTTTGTCTCTAGAGTTTGTGCACTTAACCTTGGTTCCCAGACAGGTTGGTTATAAATGCATGACTGGAGACCAGGAAAAAGATCAGTGCTCGAGATGTAGTTTATTTGTTTTTCATCAGTTTAATATGCATTGATTTACTAGTTCACTGGTTTTCCAGTTCATCGTAGAAACTATGCTAGGCACTAGCGATACAATGACAACAAAGATCCCATTCCTTTTCTCAAGTTTATAGCCTGGTGTTGGAGAAGGAAAATGAAAGAGTATCAGCATTACAAGATGCATGTAATGGCAGAACACATACATCTACGCTGATCTCCAGAGCCAGCCATGTCTGGTTGTAGAGGTAAAGTATACAGTCATGAAATGTTGAGGAAGGAGCTTGTTATAGATGGTATCTTGAAGGAGGTGCTTCTTGAGTTGAGCGTTAAAGGACATGTGGATTGGATCAGGCAGAAAAGGGTGGGAAGAACATTCTAAGCAGCAGGAAGACCATAAATAAAACCACGGAGGCGGGGCATGCAGCAAGAAGGCAAAGGGCTAGGGAAGGAATGGGTAGAGGTGGGTGTGTTGACCACCCTGTTGAGACGTTTGGTGACGAAAGTAAGGGTAAATTATGGTTTAAAATTTTTAAAAATCCCATGAGACTGATATCAGAACCAGGGATATCTGTTTCATTTTTAGGATAAAACAAGCTGAGCCTTTTCACACAGGTGTTGGGAAAGCAACCAGTGATGAAGAGGAGATTGTAGAATGGAAAAAGAATATTGATGAGCTAAGACCCCAGAGTGTTAGAATTCATGAAGCTCTGCCAGGGGACTACTACTCATTACCAATAACCTACAATTGTTGCTTCAAAGGTAGACAGAATTAGTTCAGACTTCATTAAAGGAATTTTCATTGATAATCCTTGTCTTTCTGATAATCAATTTCAACTGATATGATCTTAACTTCTCACCTTGTCCCCCAACCTTGACCCTGAACTTTATACTTATAATAATGTATCCCTTCCATCTTGGTCCCCAAACACATAAAATCTATTATCTTTCCTTAAAGACTTTTCTGTCTTTCCCCACTCATCCACCATTTTTTTAAGTAACTTATCTTTTATAATCACTGATTTTATGTCTCCAAACTGTGGACCAGTTATTCCACAGGCATCTTAAGCAATGATGTAGGAATGGCAGACAGAATGTGAACTACCACCACCTCTATCCTAGCCTAAGCTCACCCTATTGTACTGTTCTCTGACCTGCAAGATGGTTCCTGTTTCTCAATTAGTTGTTCTCAGACACATCCCACCTCCTCGATGGGTTCTAGGATTGTTTCTTTTGAGTAGGGAATAGGCTGACCCTATTAGTGCTGGGAGCAGTTCATTCAAAAGACAGGCAGAACTAAATTTGAAAGAGTACACTGAAATTCTGAAGACACAAAGAGAAATTATTTCTGTGTGACCTAGAGTTTCACTCAGTCTAGTGGAAGAGGCAGCATATAATTAAATATTACTATGTGAAAGAAAATTCTATAATAATGATGGATCAATGATGTTCTGGAATACCGTAGGAGAACTGACTCATGCTACAGAGAGCTTAGCCAGAGTCAGAACAAATTTCACAGATAAGTTGTGTCACCAGACTCTTGAAAAATAAATAAGAATTAATCAGGTAAACAGTGGTGGGCAAACAATTCAGAATGTGTCTGTGTGTGCTTGTGTGTGTGTGTGTGTGTGTGTGTGTGTGTATGATATATGAACAGAATTAAAAAATCAAATTCTACTGAGGCTTTTAAAATTACAAAACAAGAGTCTATTTATTTCTACCTCCAGTTATTCTTTTCAGAAGTATTTATTTTTTATTTTAAAATTTAATTTGTATTTACTTTTAGCATATCCTGTGTATTTGCATTGTTCAAAATTTAAAAGGTTCAACAAGGTAATATCCTGCCACTGTTCCTCAAACACCTGAGTTCCTTTTCATGAGGCAAATAGTGTTTCTTATGTGGCATTCCAAGTATATACAGACACACACACACACACACACATTTTTATTATTTTTCTTACATAAATAGTTATGTACTATGTTTAAATTCTGAGCTTGGAATTTTAAACTTAGTAACTTCTAGATCATTCTATTGAGACATACGATGTGTTCCTAATAATATCTAATGGTTATATAATATTCCCTTGGTAAATGTATTAGTCCATTCTCATGCTGCTGATAAGGCCATACCTGAGACTGGGTAATTTATAAAGAAAAAGAGGTTTAATGGACTCACAGTTCCACAGGACTGGGGAGGCCTCAGAATCATGGTGGAAGGTGAAAGGTATGTCTTACATGGTGGCAGGCAAGAGAGAATGAGAGCCAATCCAAAGGGGAAACCCCTTATAAAACCAACAGATCTTATAAGACTTATTCACTACCAAGAGAACAGTATGAGGGAAACTGCTCCCATGATTCAATTACCTCCCCCAGGTCCCTCCTACAACACATGGGAACTACAGGAGCTACAGTTTAAGATGAGATTTGGGTGGGGACAAAGCCAACCATATCAGTAGATTAAATGACTCTTAGCTCTTTAACTTTTTTGTTTTAATTTTTACTTACTCTAGTAAATATTACTGGTTGATTTATTAGTTTGTCATCTCTTACCTACCTTTTCTTATATAATAAGTGATGATTTACTTCATGTCCTTCACCTACACCTGCACATCCTCTCAATATATTACTAGTTATAGCACAATTTTAAATAACTTTATATAACACAGTTACACTTCTATTTCCATACCAACTACTGTTGACAGTATAGTAATTGTAAAGACAATATACTAGTTGTAAAAGTTCGTTCACTATTTTTCCACTCTTCTACCTCTCAGCTTCCATGTCCCACAGATTTACTTTTATATTGAGTGTGTTGGAAGCACGTATTTTCTATTCTGTTACTAGAAATAAATTATTCATGCTTGACTAAAAGTTGGCTTTATAAGATGAAAATCTGTAATTTGCTTATGTTTTATCACTATAAATATTGTTCACTGTACAACAAAGTATTAAGATATGATTATATTTAGTTTTTTATCACTCAGCTTCAGGTTTCTTGTTTGAATTATTACTTTTCTTACTTTTTTCTTCATCTTTGGGTATGAAAATTCTAAATTGCTGTTTTCAATAACAAATCTCCAAAATCCCCATTTCCTGACTGCACCCTTTCCTCCCAGAGACCCCCTTTCCTGCTCTGTTTCTGGTGCATCCTTAAAATCAGATAAATTCTAGTGGGTCAGATCCACAAATTCCTGGTTCCTGTGTCTTAACAATTTCTTAGTTTCCGGCCTTGCTGGGAAATATCTTGAAGTAACTTCTGAAGGAAGAGGGTTTTTTTTTTTTCTTACAGAGAAAACATCTGTGTTAGATAAGCTGTGTAGAGGCAAGAGTTATAGTGCTGTTGGCCACAAGTTCAATGATAATGAATCAACAATGAATATTAAATAAAGTGCCTTTAAATAGAAATGCATAAAACCAGAGGCTGGCAGGGACCAAACTCTGTATTTCCCCTAGGAGCAGTGATTCAATATTCACAAATGCAGTGTTCATAGGAATTTTATAGAACCTAACTACTGTGAATGACAAGCATCCACAATCATTGTTATTATATTCACTTATGAAAATGTATTCATTCTAACTTCATCCTTGATGAATAATGTGGCTAATTGTAAATTTCTAAGTTAAAAAATTATTTACCTCAGAACATCAATAGCATTAATTTATTACATAATGGTAATTTGATCATTTAGATTGAGTAGATAGAAGATGGATATGGTTATTTTACTGGAGGTAGTGCTAGCTTTTGCATGTGTATTTATGTTGCCTTGCTCTTGGATAATAATGGCGACATTAGTTGCCCCAATTCACCTAGAAAATTCACCTATTTATTTAGAAGAGAATCCTATGCTTCTTACTTTTTTTTTCAAGGGATAAATATCAGCTTTCAGGAACATTTTGCATGTGACAGCATGTGAGAATCAACATACATTTACGTACAATCAGTCTGCTTTATTAACTGATTTTGTTTTTTGCAAATTCACCTATTCATTAAGCTTTATTTGTAATTCCAAAATCAATACTCAGTGCACTTTCATGATCATATATTTGCATAGCTCAAAAACTTGAGTTGTTAGTAATTAAGGTCAAATAAAGCTGCTCTCTGCATTCTTGTTTTAGCTCCTCTATGACAAGCAAGTGTTCTTTTCTCTATCTATTTATTTAGTGCCTTTTTCAATTTTTTGTGCTTTCATCAGTGATTTCCCTGTTTAAAATATCTCCCAAACATAGTGCTAAAGTGCTGGTCTAGTGTCCCTAAGCACAAGAAAGCTGTGATGTGCATCACACAGAAAATACTTGTGTTAGATAAGCTATGTATAGGCAAGAGTTATAGTGCTGTTGGCCACGAGTTCAATGTTAAAGAATCAGCAATGCATATTAAATAAAGTGCTTTTAAATATAAATACAAAAAAGGCAGAGGCTTACAAAGAACCAAACCATTCCCCTAGAAGCAATGATTCAGTATTCATAAACACAGCATTCATAGGATTTTATAGAACCTCGCTACTGTGAATGACAAGAATCCTCTATGTTCCCATATTTTGAGCTCTCCATCTCACACCTACCTTTTATTTGGCCTTTTCAACTATCAAGACTTCTATGACTCTGCAGGTAGAGGTCTTGATGCTTAATTGCTGCCCTTATGACAGTCTGTAGTCTACGGCTTCTGCCACCCTGCTTCACCAGATATCATTGCTACCTCTGATCAAGCGTCACTGCTTCATTTTTATTTTTCAGTAATTTAGGCAAAACACTTTTCTGATGGCCTCTGTTCCTTTTCTCATGGTTGTTGGCTCATATACGTATTCAATTCTTCATATTTTCATGAGACTCTGGGAGTCATCTCCTTTAACTTTCTTGAGTTGAAAGGTCCAGAATATTCTTTCAGATTTTTAGAGATTAAAGCTCAACAATGATAAGGGACGTTTAAGACCAGTTTTTATAGATTTTATGAAACAATATTAAATCATGGCATTTCAGATTTGAAAAATATAATATGTAATATTTTGTTGAATTCCAAATATATAGTTGAATAAATTAAAGGCCTCTCTAGATCTAACTCACATTCTTCTCTAACTTCCTCCAGCTATGTTCTGCACCTCTGCAGATTGTAGAGGACACCCAGAGTTTGAAACTGGTCAAATAGGTTGTTAGCAGGTCAAAGGGGTGCAGAATTTTTGCATCTGAAAAGAATTTATTGAAAACGGCTTACCATGGATTATATGATAGAAAGGCAAATGAAGCTGGAAAGAAACTGATGGATTGAGAAATTAGGAAAGACAGAGAAACTAAAGGTTATGATGAGGTCAGAGACACAACCAAGTTCAGCAAGTGCCTTAAACAGAGAGAAGTTGAGGGGAGAAATTCTGGTAAAAGGGGAATAGCAGAACTTTCAACCCTACTGTTTTCTATACTTTATAAGTTAGCATGCAAAGTTATTGAAATATTCAAGAGAAATATTAACTTTAAAGTCAGAAGAATGAGTTTTATCAAAGAAATTGCTCACTTAGCATTGTCATGTAATTGCTAAGGGGAAAAATAAGCATATCAATTCTGTTTGCATCTTTTTCTTTTTTTTCTGTCCCTGGAGAAATTATGTAGCATTGAGTTAATTATGCTCCCTTTGAAGTCTTAGAAATTTAATACATTAAATGTCTACACTTAGTGCTCCACCTCTCATTCAAGAGTATCAAAGCTTTAAGAAAAATACTGCAGTTATGTGCAGCTGAGTATATAAACCTGCTGTGATATTGGCAGAAAATTGTTACACAATATATCTGTAAGTGTCCTTGAAATGAATATAGTGAAACAGCAGTGCTCACTTGGTTTTATTTAAATATAGATTGGAATGATATTTTGAAAAAAATGTTTTTATATAGGAATAATGTTGCATTTGTTGCTGTGTACATTATAGTCTTTCCAGAAACAATACAAAAAAATTCTATATAAATTAGACATTTTGGCCATGGTCTTTAGTGTTTGGGTTTGAGAAGATACGCCAATTCTTTGAAAGGAGGAAGTTTTACTATTTATACAGCAATAGATATTGTCTCCAATTTACATTTTTTCTTCAAATTTTCAGAAAGGAACCCTACTGTTCCATGACATCCTTTTATTTCACAGTAAGAAAAGGTTATTATTATCTTGTATTCCTTAAACATACTTTATGAAATAGTTTTCATTGTATTGTACTATACCCTAGGTTCATTGAAAAAAAGAACTTTGAGGCTGTCAAACAACAAAAAGGCAAAGTTACATATTTCAAATATGTATGCAGCTTCCCAAAAATAAGCCTTTGGAAAGATTTAGGAAACAAGGGAAGGTAGCTTATCTCAGTAGATACAGAATGACTCCCACTCATCAAAAGGGTGCCCTTTTAAGAAGTGTCTGTTCATAGCCTTTACCCACTTTTTGATGGGGTTGTTTTTTTCTTGTAAATTTGGTCAAGTTCCTTGTAGATTCTGGGTATTAGAACTTTGTCAGATGGACAGATCGCAAAAATGTTCTCCCATTCTGTAGCTCATCATCACTGGTCGTAAGAGAAATGCAAATTGAAACCACAGTGTGATACCATCTCATGCCAGTTAGAATGGCGATCATTAAAAGGCAGGAAACAACAGATGCTGGAGAGGATGTGGAGAAATAGGAACACTTTTACACTGTTTGTGGGAGTGTAAATTAGTTCAACCATTGTGGAAGACAGTGTGGTGATTCCTCAAGGATCTAGAACCAGAAATACCATTTGACCCAGCAATCCCATTATTGAGTGTATACCCAAAGGATTATAAATCATCCTACTATAATGACACATGCACACGGATGTTTCTTGCAGCACTATTCACAATAGCAAAGACTTAGAACCAACCCACATGCCCATCAATGATAGACTGGATAAAGAAAGTGTGGCACATATACACCATGGAATACTATGCAGCCATAAAAAAGAATGAATTCATGCCCTTTGCAGCGAGATGGATGAAACCAGAAACCATCATTCTCAGCAAACTAACACAGGAACAGAAAACCAAATACCCCATGTTCTCACTCATAAGTGGGAGTTGAATAATGAGCACACATGGGCACAGGGAGGGGAGCATCACACACTTGGGCCTGTCAGGGAGTGAGGAGCAAGGGGAGGGAGAGCATTAGGACAAATACCTAATGCATGCAGAGCTTAAAACATAGATGATGGGGACTGGGCGCGGTGGCTCAGGCCTGTAATCCCAGCACTTTGGGAGGCTGAGGCGGGTGGATCATGAGGTCAGTAGATCGAGACCATCCTGGCTAACATGGTGAAACCCCATCTCTACTAAAAACACAAAAAATTAGCCGGGCATGGTGGCGGGCACCTGTAGTCCCAGCTACTCAGGAGGCTGAGGCAAGAGAATGGTGTGAACCCGGGAGGTGGAGCTTGTAGTGAGCCGAGATTGCGCCACTGCACTCCAGCCTGGGCGACAGTGCGAGACTCTGTCTCAAAAAATATAAATAAAATAAATTAAAATAAATTTAAAAACCTAGATGATGGGTTGATAAGTGCAGCAAACCACCATGGCACATATATACCTCTGTAACAAACCTGCACGTTCTGCACATGTATCCCAGAACTTAAAGTATAATAATAATAAAAAGGGTGCCCTGAGTACTCAAATTGCTGTGATAGTTATTTAAATGACACATTTTTTTCTAAAATAAATTATTTGGAGACATTATACAATGCACAATTTTAAAGATGAAGCAATTATAATATAGTGCATATAAGTTTACAACTCAACAAATTTCCGTGTGACCATCATCCAGATCAAGAAACAGAACATAACTAGCATGCCCAGATTTCTCATTCATGCACGCTCCAGTTAAGATCTCCCCAAAGGTATCCTGACTTTTAACACTATTCAACTAGTTCTGATTAATTTTAAACTGTATATAAATAGAATCATACGGTGTGTACTGTTTTGTCTTTCTTTCGTTCAGCATTATATCTGTGAGATTCATCCATGTTGAAGTTTGTAGAAAAAATTCATTCATTTTGATTGCCTCAAAATATTTTGTTATATGAATAAGACAGAATTTATATACTTCTGTTGATGATTTTTTTACAGTTTTGCTCATTACAGATAGGGGTTCTATATACATCTTTTTGGATATGTCTGTAGTTTTGTTGAGTATATACTTAGGAATGAAATTGCTAGCTCAAGGAGTACGCATAAGGCATGTTACATATTAATGCTAGCTGATGCTGCCAGTTTCCCAAAGTGTTTATACCAATTTTACTATTTGAAGTAGTAACTGAAAGCATTCCAATTTTCCGTTTCTTCACCAACACTTGTTATTTTCTGTCGTCATCATTTTATTTTAACTGCTGGACATATATTAGATTCAGATTTTAATTTGCATTTTTCTGATGGATGATTTATTTTGTATATTTATTTGCTTCGAGGATATTTTTCTTTTATGGAGTGCCTGTTGAAGTTATAGTCCCCCCTTCTTTCCCCTCATGATTTGTAGAAGCCCTTTGAATATAATGGATAAAAGTCTCTTGTCAAGTGAATGTATTTTGAAAATCTTCTCTTCTGTCTGTCTTTTCACCCTGTAAATAGTGATGAACAGAAGTTCTTATTTGTAATGTAGTCCAAATTATTACATTTTTTGTAGTTAGTACTTTTTGTCTTTTTTAAAAGAATGCTTCTTACTCCAAAATCATGAAGATCTACATACAAGGTTTTTCTAGAAACTTGTTTTATCATTTACATTTAAATCTGAAGTTCATCTGAAATTAATTGTTTTGCATAATGTAAAGTGGAGGTAAAGATACATTTTATTTTCCATATGGTGAACACTTCATTTTAACACAAGATCAGTGTGTCTAAATGGAAAGAATAATAGAAGCTTCCAATACCCATTAATAAAGTGGGAGTTGATTAGTGTATTTGAAAGTATTATCTCTGTACTGCATCCTATTGCTATGACCTATATATTATTTTCTAATATGAAGCACATGACTTTAGAAGAAAAGGAAAGGTTATACTGGTGAATTAATTGAAATAAGAATCTTCCTGTGATCCCAGGATCACAAAAGTTCGTGATGCTGGATTCTATGGTAAAAGTTGTAACTCTTTCCATGGGCCCAATAGTTATGGGTCATCAAGTAGCAGATAGTGGCCAATCACTCAAAAACAAACTGCTCCATATAAATATAGTTTTTACAATTGCATGGAATTGTAAGAAAAAAAATAACTGGCTTAAAAAAAAACAAATCTCTAACAGGCACTGATTCATCCCTGATTTAGTTTATATTTCCTTGTATCGTATTTATCAATTATTATTAAACTGCTCTCAAATCTGAGTTTTAACTTTAGCTTTATAAGCTTGTATTGAAAGGCAGCTCTGTTACTAGTCAATCCACAGATGTGGGTTTTTTTTTTTTTTTTTTTTTTGATGAGAAAGTCTTAAATTTATTTTACTTTGCGTTTGACCTAAATTGTATATGATAGTTCTTGCTTCTGTTAATGAGGCCTGAGACAGCATCAAGTTTTTCTTTTCTGATTGGAGAGCTGTTTAACTTGCAGAAGGTTTCTCTGAACATGGAAACTAAGCAAAGAACGGGTTTCCAATGAGTCTAAACTTCCAAATAAAACAGACCCAAATTACCGCTCTTGTGACCACTGACTTGGGACACTGATATTGGTGGACAGTTTGCTACTAACTTCTCCTAACAGCCTATAGTCTATTTAATAATTTTTGACTGCAACATCTACTGCTGGTTTTTACTTTATACTAAGTTCTTAAATAAGTCAATCATTTTTATTCCATTCCATTTGAATTATTATCCAAGCAATAATTTGAATAATTGTGGAAAAACAAGAAAATATCTGAATATTTGTGACAATTGTACCATTATTTTAAATATAAAATCACAGTTGCTTCAACCTTCAAGACAAGAAAATTGAAATCCTTCTCTAATCCATTTTTCACTTATTCAATTATTCAAACAATATATTTAAAGCTATTCTATGCAAGTCAGTGTGGGAAGAGCTGTAAGAATACAATAATGAATGGTATATGATTCCATACCCCAAGGGATATAGACTCATAAGGAAAATGCTGTAAACACGAAGTGTGCAAAATAATAAAACCATAAGAACAGACACAGTTAAATTACTCCTCTCTACTCCTAAAGGGACTTGAGAATAAAGAAAACAAAGTTGCTACCTGAAACCTAATCAAATAAAGTCTATTGGCAATGTATGAGTTACACATCCCTAGGTTATTCATATCAAAACTTTATTGTTCTGCTGTAAGTGAGAATTCTTGACCATTTCAAAAATTCTTACCATAACCTGCTGTAGTCTTCTCAAAGCAAGTCTAGAATGTAAATGAATCCAAAAATAATTAAATTTTTATTGAGTTTTCCCTCCATGAAATTATACAGGTGATTCAAAAACAAACGGAGTAGTTAGACTGGACCTAATGATAAATTTGAGGTTGGGGGAGGGGGGAGGGATAGCATTGGGAGATATACCTAATGCTAGATGACACGTTAGTGGGTGCAGCGCACCAGCATGGCACATGTATACATATGTAACTAACCTGCACAATGTGCACATGTACCCTAAAACTTAAAGTATAATAAAAAAAAAAGAAAAAAAAAAAAGATAAATTTGAAAATGGGAATTTGGCAGTGTTTGTCTATTGCTGCTTAGAGAAGACACCAGTCATGGAAGGCAAGGACAGGCTAACATATGAAGGTATTCTCTGTGGTATGTCAGGCACAATTCATCAGATTTAATTAAAATGATTTTCAAAATTATGCACCTCTTTGAGCTCTGCTCCTACTCTATGACATAAGAAGCCAGGAGAATAGTGAGCTCATGCATTCTAAGCACTAGAGAGATGTATTTATTGCAAATAAATAAATTAGCAATTTATATGCTGATTTCTATTTAATTTGCTTAGTACATAAATGGCAAATACATGCTACAAGTGCTATTAATTCCATTTCCAGACCAAAACCATAGATTACCACTATCTGCCCTGCTGTACTGAGCAGCTATAGCAAATGGATCTTAGTTAGCACTGGAGTCCGAACCTATTTGCCAATCTGGGTTAGTATGAGTCAGTCTCCCAGAACTTAATCAATTCCTTAAATACTTACTGACAAAATCAATATTTTAGTTTTGTAGAGAACCAGATTTTACGGTAATGCCACCCCATGAAGCTTTGTTGAAAAATTAGATAGTCTCTCTAGATTACAATTCTATCCAGACTTTTTCTCACTATAATACAAATAGGAGGGAAAAAACTGTCTTGACAGAGCAAATTAAGGTCAATTTGCTTTTCCTAACAAAACCCATTGTTATTAGAATGAAAAAAATACCCTGTAGCATATAAGAAGGTTAAAAAATTAAACTTATATGTGTCTATCCAATAGTAAAATTTCATGAACATAGAGGTCCTTTAATGTTCTGGCTAATTAAATTTTTAGTGCCTTGTAGACTATACCAAAATTTCTTTTTGGTTTCTACTTGTAGAAAAGTGTTAGAAATACTTTAGTCTGGGTTTTTTTGTTTTGTTTTGTTTTTTGAGGTAAGAGCTAGAGTATAGCCAAGATACCTAAATCTTTCACATTGATATATCAGTATGTTGCTGGATATTCAGATTATCAATGCTTATTACATTAAAATTCACGTTAGACCTGGGTCCTGAAATCATATTTCACTTTTTTCATATGTCTTTTTTAGTAAGCTATCTGAGATCCTCCTTATAAAGTTAAATATAAATGTACCCATGTCTATGCAAAGTTTTGCATATTGGCATGAAAGAGTATATATATGAAAACATACATTTATACACAAATAAATGTAGAAGTTTTGAAAAAGCAAATTCATTAACTCTGATTCTCTGATATATATACATAATATTTATATATGTTATAAAATAATATCTGCTATTCAGTATTTTATTCTGTTAAAACTAAAAGCTATTAATTGATGGCTAGTTGAAACATAATAAGTTGTTACTTCCAATATTGCTTGATCAAACTCAAGTCAGATTATTAGCCCTCTCTAATCGGCCAAAAACTTCACTTTGAAAGATATCATGAGAAACTTGCAAAAGTAAATTGCCATTTAAAATTTATTGTGTAGAAATTACTTTTTTTTAACCGTGATTCTTGTTTTGTTCCTTAATAGCCTAAATATCCTGTAAAGAACACTGGTATTAAATGTAAGAAGTAGGTGAACACTTTAATTTTGAAAAATTATTGTAATGAATAAGCAAATCCTTATTAAAAAGGAAAAGTGAAAGATGAAGGGTGGGTTTAGAACTGACCAGAATTCTTAAGTTTAATATCCATAAATTCTTACATATAGGATTGATATCCAGCAGGTGTGCACCTATAAAGCTCTCTTCACTGCTTATGACAGGCATCCTTTCTCATGGAAGATGTCCTATTTGATTGCTGAGTGGCTGTTTTACAGAGTTTTAAAAATATTTTGAATAACATTCCCAATCACATGAGTCCTCTAGGAATGTAGAATTGTGAGACGTACATCTACTGATCCAAGTAGGTAACTTCTTCAATCCACATCTCTTCATATATCATTCTGTTTTTAGTCTTCTTAGTGAATAAAAATAATGTCAATTTTAAATGTTTAATACCTAATAAATATTTGCATTTTAAATTTCACTCACTATTATTTAATTAGCATTAGTATATTATAGTTAGACTACATGTTCTCTAATTTGGAAATGTTTCCAGTGATAATTTTTAATTTTTTTTCAAATTGCCAGTTTTAATGAGGGGAAAAACCTAACTTTCTCTTTATTTTGTTTATATATTCATAATAGTCTACAGAGTTCAAAAGAAGGCATAATTGGCATAATACTTTAGAGATAAACAAAAATGTGTTTACCTAAAACAAAGTTTCTTGGGCTTGGCACTATTGACAATTTGAACCAGATAATTTTTGTTGTGGGCAGATGTCCTGTGCATTATAACATGTTTAGCAGCATCTGCCTGTACCTAGTAGATGTCAATAATACCTACCCCAGCTGTGGTAGAAGATAAAATTATCCCTGGTTGACAGTCATTGATAACTATTTAATTCTTTTTTTTTTTTTTTTTTTTTTTTTTTTTTTGAGACGGAGTCTCGCTCTGTCACCCAGGCTGGAGTGCAGTGGCGCGATCTCGGCTCACTGCAAGCTCCGCCTCCCAGGTTCACGCCATTCTCCTGCCTCAGCCTCCCGAGTAGCTGGGACTACAGGCGCCCGCTACCACGCCCGGCTAATTTTTTGTATTTTTAGTAGAGACGGGGTTTCACCGTGTTAGCCAGGATGGTCTCGATCTCCTGACCTCGTGATCCGCCCGCCTCGGCCTCCCAAAGTGCTGGGATTACAGGCGTGAGCCAGATAACTATTTAATTCTGAAACAGTAAATTTTTGTTCTCATGAAGTTTTTATTGCTGTCCTATGATAATTACTTTTCACTTTACCACTAATAATAGCTAGCTAGCATTTATTAGGTTCTTTCAGTTGTGTGACACTGCTAATCACTCTGTAAGTTAACACTTATAATCCTCAAAAAACCCAATGGCATAGATAGAACAGTATCTTAATTTCACAAATAAAAATTTTGTAAAATGATGTATAAGCATTTGTCTATCTTAATTAGGTAGATCGTTTGCATTTTATTTTTTGTTTGCTTAGTGATCACTTGCGAAGTTATTATACTATTTTTTAACATGTTCATCATGAAATGCATTTTTTTTGGAGTTACTTGGTTTCCAAGTGACATTTAACTCCCTAAAATAGCATTTAATCAGTAAGTTTGTGTTGTGGTCTTTGAACATGCCATCTGAGGGACAAGAGTGTGCTAGATTGCCTTTTGACTTACGATTTTTAGAACAAAATAAATGAAAAAGAAAAAGAAATGAACATATACATAAACTGAGAAGCATAACTAATTGACAGCAAGAAATGACTTGATTCTCAACACTGTAAAGTAGTTGCTAAAGGCAGTAGCTAATATTTATTGTGTTTTCCTTACGTGCCAGACACTGCTGTATGTGTATTTTACATATGTACACATGTATTTATCACACTAAACCTAGGGGATAGATGCAAGTTTAGCCTCATTTTACAGCTGAGGAGATTGATACACAGAGGTTGTAAAAGTAGTTTCAGGTCACACAGTGAGTAATAGCAAAACCAAGTTTAGATTACTAGTACGGAGTGTGCTAGGCTGGGCATGGTGGCTCATGCCTGTAATTCTAGTTCTTGGGAGGCTGAGGCAGGAGGATCAATTGAGGTTGGGAGTTTGAACTCAGCCTGGGCAATTGAAGCCAGCCTGGGCAACATAGGGAGACCCTATCTCTACAAAAAAATTAAAAGTTATAATAGCTGGGTATGGTGGTACATGCCTGTAGTCCTAGCTACTCTGGAGGCTGATGTGGGAGGATAGTTTGATCCCCAGGGTTCAAGGTTATAGTGAGCTATGATTGAGCCACTGCACTCCAGCTTGGGCAGCAGAGTAAGACCTTGTCCCCCGCAACAAAAAAAAAAAAAAAAAAAAAAAAAAAAAAAACAACAGTACGTGCTATATTGGTTTTACAGCTCTACAGTGAAAGTGAAAAAGTCAACTTAACCTTTTATTCATGACATAAGAGGTAGTCAGTATGCCTAACTCCCACTAAATTATTTGTAAGGCGAGCTTGTACTGTGAACTTTATCAGTAAAATCTATTACATGGTATCATAATATAATGGAGGAATTGGTCAGGATTATGGATTTTTGTCATATTTCGCCCTTAAGCATAGAGAAGAACAGAACTTTTGGATTAAATGGATTAATTTTAGTGTATGTGCTTATACTAGAGAGAGAAAAAGAGAGAGGAAGAAAGAAATCTAGGTTGAATAAATACTTTCTGACATAAAGAAATTTTGAAATATGGAAATTATTATTGGAACTCCAGTGGCTCACAAGATAGTATTTAATTATTGATATGATAAGATCACTCAATATGCTGAATGTGAATTTTCAGAACAAAAGAGAAATGTTAATGGTGGTTTAATCTAAGAGATCCAATTTGTCAATCAATCTCCCATTGG
This sequence comes from Homo sapiens, assembly GCF_000001405.40. Classification (NCBI taxonomy): domain Eukaryota; kingdom Metazoa; phylum Chordata; class Mammalia; order Primates; family Hominidae; genus Homo; species Homo sapiens. Next base: position 93,128,583 of record NC_000004.12, read on the forward strand.
ACTTGTAGAGAAAACAGATGGCAACGATGATTCCCTCATTGCTAAACTGTCCTAATCAGGGCTAAGAAGAGGAGCAGGAATGGAAACTTGGGAAACCTGAGGTACAGAAAGCGGCATGAGCCTATTTCTTAGCAAACACAAGTTTGCCTTTTCTGGGAGACCTGAAATAAATGTTCATCCTGGTTCAAACTCCCATGGTGATCCTGACCTGAGCTTAGAGTTGCTACAAAAAAATTCACAAATTTTCAGCAGAAATGAAATAAGAATTTCAAAAGAGACTCCGAATTTGATGAGTAGAACTTACGCTTTGCATTTCTGTAACTGTTTTGGGAATTGCAAACCTCATGGTATTACTAAATTATCCATTCCCTATTCTACCAGTGTTGGTTTGTATTCTCAAGATATATTGATTGCCATGAAAGCAAACTAAAGCCACAAACAAACCTATCAACCTAGCAGTCCAACCTTCTCTGGACATTAAATTTATATTTTTAAAAAACTATCTAAAATTCAGAATAACTGCCACTAGGAGAGTGGAGAAATTTGGCAACAAATATAGCTTAACCACACACCACACAAATAACTTTTTTATTATAAGTAACTGAGAAGTTTAGCAATTAGTACATCTACTTAATTGCATTTTAAACTGTAACGTGTTTCTTGGCCCACCTTTCTGAGACATGTTTGTTGTTGAAAATAATAATAAGAATAGGGTTATTTATTTCCTGGCAATGTCCTCCAACTAGCTTAATGTTGAAATACTGTTTTTTTTGTTTGTTTGTTTGTTTGTTTTTGTTGTTGTTTTCTAAACTAATAGTGCAGGATCCCCCAGGTCTTTCAGAATCTAGCATTTCTTTTCCCCTTTCCGCAAGGATTCTGGCATCGAGATTTTTATGTTGATGATCCACCTGCTCCAAATGTGGCCTGGAGACTAGTGCTACTAGGGGAAAATTCATCCTCACACTCTGCTGTTGCCAATATCACAATCCAGGGCCTACTTAATACAGTAAAATGTCTCTTGCAACCCAACAACACTCCCAGGCATCTCAACACTAAACCTTACTTCACCATCATTGCACCCTTTGTCAAGTCAGTTTCCCTTTAGAAAAGCTGATGATCTTGTATTTATTTTACCTATTCTTTTTTGCAGCCCTTGTCTCCATGATGTTTGGCACTCAGACACATGGAACCTGGCAGGGTGTATCTCAAAGTCATGTCTCCATTTAGACCTTAAATTAGAACTTACAACAAATTTGGGGTGTTCCATTTCAGATGGTACCCAGTGAGGTTGAAGGTTGGATCGTATTGTTCAGAGATGGAGTGGATCTAACTAGGGCAATTAGCTGTCAGGCCCCAAATGTCCAGGTATATTTCCTTATGATTAAGCTCTTTAAGCAAATTGACCAATCTTTTCCCACCCTGCCAGCCCTTCAGGCTGCCAGACATAGAATGACATAGCTGAGATGGCTGAAAACATGAGCATATGTATTTATTTGTAATACTGTTGTTTTAATTATCCAGGTTGAGAATTAGACAGGCGGGAGACCCAAATGCAAAATGAAATTTTACCTTAAAAGATCGGTGTGGTGGCTCACGCCTGTAATCCCACCACTTTGGGAGGCTGATGTGGGTGGATCACTTGAGCCCAGGAATTTGAGACCAGCCTGGGCAACATGATGAGATCCTGTCTCCAAAAAAAGTTTTAAAAATTAGCCAGTTGTGGTGACACCTGCCTGTGGCCCTTCCTGCTTAGGAGGCTAAGGCAAGAGGATTACTGGAGCCCAGGATGTCAAGGCTGCAGTGAGCCATGTTCGCACCACCACAGCAATCCAGCCTGGAGTACAGAGCAAAACCCTGTCTCAGGGGGAAAAAAACTGGTAATACATTCTGAATTAAATAATTACTTTATATTTACTATGAAAGAGAAAATTTCAGATAATTACCAGAGAAACAAAAACTAAGGAAAAAAAAGAAAAGTGGCTCTTTAAATTTCCCTACAGACTAATTAAATTTATTTTTCTAGCTTTGCTTAATGGACGGATACCTTTGTGAATTTTGGATCTTTAAAATCTATCACCAGTATTCCCATAATTTATTGTTCTCCGTCATTAGATTGTAAACTTCATGAGGTCGAGCTCTTTATTTTTTCAAGTCCAAATCCCACACCATATATAGCCTAATATATTGCAGACAACAATCTCTAAATAAATGGTAAATTTTTGAGGTGAAATTTATTCTGGAGATTGATGATTGCAGCTACTTGATTTTGAGAGTTGTAGACATCTTATAACTGGTTTAAATGAGAACTAAACGATATATTCCAGAACGACTGAAACAGTTCTCTCTTATCCAATTGCATCCTTTCTGCCTTTCATCTTTCTATGAGAGTGTCTCACATTGCATTTAATCTTTACATTGGCTAAATTCTAACTAAACAAAAATTTCTTAAAACATAAATGAAAGTAAAGATTTTTTTCTTAGCAATGACCAACCCTCTCCCTAGACAGCCTACTTTTGGTATTTTGGGACTGATTGCTAGAACTTCCATGAAAAGATTAAATAATTTTTTTTTTTTTTTTTTTTTTTTGGTGAGATGGAGTCTCGCTGTGTCACCAGGCTGGAGTGCAGTGGCACCATCTTGGCTCACTGCAACCTCCACCTCCCAGGTTAAAGCGATTCTCCTACCCCAGCCTTCTGAGTTGCTGGGACTACAGGCACTCGCTTCCATGCCCAGCTAATTTTTGTATTTTTAGGAGAGACAGGGTTTCACCATTTTGGCCAGGATGGTCTCGATATCTTGACCTCATGATCTGCCTACCTTGGCTTCCCAAAGTGCTGGGATTACAAGCTTGAGCCACCACGCCTGCCCAATTAAAACAACATTTTTAAAATCCAGTCTAATCTCTTTATTTTTTAAATTAAGAGGAGGTTAAAATAACTAGTAAATTATATTTATTTATTTGTAATATTGTTGTTTTCATTATCCAGGTTGAAATTTTTAAAAATTAAAAATTAAAAATTTTATTTAAATTTTTTTATTTTTATTTTTAATTTTTATAGATGCATACTAGTTGCATATATTTATGGGGTACATATGGTATTTTGTTATAAGGATACAATCTGTAATGATTAAATCTGGGTAACTGGGATATTCATTACCTCAAACATTAATCATTTCTTCATGTTGGAAACATTCCTGGTTCTTACAAGATATAAAATTTGAGACATTCAGTTCTCATCTCTGCACAAATGGATCTGTTTTTTCTTTTTCCTATGTATACAACTAGCACTATAGAGCCGTTATCTAGGAACATCTGTTAGTTGCTTAAACCGGGTCTCCTAGAATAGTGTCTCTCAGTATTGTTATATCTGTGATCTGATTTTAGGAACTTGTTCTTTAGTCATTTATTCCCACCTCAATCCATAAGCAAAAAACACAAACAACAAAAATGGACTATAAACAATTATCTGCAATAAAAAATTATAAGTATAATTTAAATATCTGGACTAAGGAAAGGATAAATTAGAAGAACATTAGAAATTAACATAGCACAGTATAGGCCGGGATGTTGCACTATTTTTCCCAATACAACAGTAATCACCTTGAGGTCAGGGGCTATTGTAAATTTCACATTCTCCTCAGTATTTGACATAGAACCTACATATAATTTGGCACTCAATACCTACTTGTTTGTTTCACTTAGGCAAAAAGTAGAGCAGAAAGAAAATGTTTGCCTTATGTAGCATGAAACACTTTCTTTTTATGGGTGAGATCATGCCCATTTAAGAACCTTGACACAATTGCAAAGATCTAGGGAACTGTACCATTCTCAGGTTGCTTCACTTCCTGGCTGATTTTAAACACCTGGAGGAATGAACTATTGAAAATCCTTTGTGCTGTCCACAATTAAGTTTGGGGGCAGCCTCACAACTCTCAGCATGGATGCTAATTTCCAAATTTTAACCTGGGCCCTTAAGGGATGGAATTGGCTTACCTGATATCTCTTTAGAAGAAATGAACTTCAACGTGACATATATTCACTAATTATTATTATTTCTTAATTCTGTTAAAACATAAAAGATGAAAGGCTAAAATGTAATTCTAATTGGCAAAGGAATTTCATACCGGGAAGGCATCTCTTGATTAGCAGCTGTGTAGGCAGAGGGAGGGTTGGGGGTATGGAAATTTGGCTAAGAATTCACACAGAAAAGTGCTCGATGTGCTTCGAAATAGCTCAATCAGTACTCAGCGTGCTGTGAAAGCGCTCAACTGGTGCTCAACTTCCAGCATATTTAAATGAGTGGAACGCTTACTTTTTAAAAGTGCTCAATTGGGAGTGCTCAAGTTGTGGTACCTATTAGTTGAATGCTAATTAACTTTTCCTTTTCATATGGTTCACTTCTCTGTTAAGCAAACAGATAGTTTTGCTGTTCATGTTTTGAGGTTAAACCTGGACTTTCCATGAGACATTAAGGGATTTGTATTTATTTTCGAGAAGGAAATTATACCATCAACTATTCCATCAACTATAGCTTTTCCTTTGCATGCTCTTGCATGCACGTTCTCGCTCTCTCTCGGTCTCTCTCTCTCTCAGATTTTTATATTATACTCCTCACTATTTCTGAGCTTTATTGTTTTGTTTGAAGCCATTTTGAGAAAACTAAAAGAGCAGAGCTAGATGTGTTATTTGATCTGATATCTTTTATTCCTGATACATAGGTTTGGTTTTTCCCAAGTGTCTTTTCAATCATTTTGATAACACTGCTCTTCAGAAATAGTTTTGAGCTTTAATTTGAGTTTAAGAAACTGCATAGTTTTGTGCTATGTTTCTAAATGTCCACTTTCACCTTTGTTGAACTCATTACTATCTTACTTTTTTAAGTTGGAAAGATGAATCCTGTAATTTGGTACATAATAAAGACTTCATTAACTAATCTGTTTAAGATTGAATTTGAGCTATATGTTTTGAGAATGCACTTTGGGAAAAAATTACTATGACTTTCAATTATCTCACTATTGCCATGAATTAAGATGAAGATTTAAATGGATTTTTTTTTCTGTAACTTCAGAATTTCTTTCCTAGGCAGATGCTGGGCACATTGTACAGCATTGCACAACATGGCAGTTGTGTCCTATTTCCCCTAATTACCAACAGAAAGCTATGCACGGGTGAAGAAAGCCTTAGGAACATGCTCCTATAAATGGAGAAAAAAGAATGCCAAAGCTTTACCTGTCAAAATACAAACTGTCAAAGACTGTATTTCAGTTTAATTCTTGATCTTCTATAATGATGTGGCAAGCTGTTGTTCAAAGTAAAGGTTAAGGAATATTTAGGCAAATAGAAAAGTAGAATTCCATTTGCTTCACATAGCAACTGAAAAAGAAGAATGCATAGTCTCACTTTTAGGGTGAATAAAATGTAATTTTAATTAGCATCTAATGCAGGATTAATGCATTAGCCTCCTAACTCATCTCCCAGTTAAACACATTCTAAGACAGAAATGCCTTTCAATATATGTCATTGAAAGGCCACATTAGGACTTCTTAGGCTGGAAGTCATTGAAAATGTGGGTCATCTAATGCCCCTGTTCTGATTTAGGTTCTCCAAAAACCTTCTGATTTTAATTGGCTTCCATATAGGTCTACTGTGGAGAAAGAATAAGTGGGTCAGATGAATATTGTTTAGAAAATAAGTTAGTCATATTTCAGTATATATGAAAGACTTACAAATCTCACTGAAAATGAAGAAATTTGTACCATGGCTTTGAATTGCGATCTGAATTTTGTAAATGTGAATCTGAACTGAGTAATGGGATGGTGCTTAGTGTTCTCCTAATAGCAATTTTCTGAGTCTACAGTCCTAATGGCCTGACCTTGGATGGTGGTGAATTCACTAAGGTAATAACTATCACAACATGAAACCTCTTTAAAGAAAACTTGCTGGATATCAAAATTCTGTTTTAAATTTTTCTCTTTGAGTTTAAATTGAATTTCTGTGGTGTTTTCACAAAAGTGCTATGCTCAGTTTTATGAACATAATGAACATCATTTTTTTTTACCTTTATGCAAATATTCTCAGCCACTATTAAGGCATTTTAATGAAAATTAAAATTTGATTTTTTAGCAACTTGCAGTAGCTTATAATGATAATATTGAATCAGGAATATATTTTTTGCAGAACAAAATGAAGGAAGTTGGGTAGTAGAGGTCCCTTCACCAATTCTACCCAGTGGCTATAAGAAGCAATACTGGGTTATTGCTTTGCTGTAAAATAAGAGAGAAATGTATGCCTCGTTGCCCCTCGCTGTTTGGCGTATTGAAACTTGCCTATTAAATTACCCTTTACTGAGTTTCACCGTGCTCTCTCTGAAAATAAAAGCTAATTCAGCTTTCCTATATTTATGATAATGAAAAGTAATATCTAAAGTGGGGGTTTACTGTGCAATCATACATTCAAGTGATGTATTTACTTTCATAAACTAAAGAAGGTATTTAAGTGGTTTGCATTAGTTTTAAACAATTATCTTTTTGTATTCACTTGACCTAGTTAGATAATGATGTGCAAACAGATTTGATTTAATAACACATTAGTAAAATGTTCGGTGAAGTCTTAAAACAACTGCTTTTAATATTCCTGAACAATAGGAGGCTTTGGGTTCAGTCTCCTGTGAGGTGTGTGGTGCTTGTTTGCAATCAGCTCTGACATTTTCAGAGTCTTCTACTACAAAGAGATTCTATTTTGAAAACAATTATTAGGGAGCAGCTGAATGTGTATCCTCCATTGAGCACTAAGTTTTTGTTGTTTTCAGTTGTTGGTGGCCAAGATTAAGAAATGATTGAGAAAGCTTCCGTGTGTGCCATTTGATAGTTATACAAGATAATACTTTTTCACTTTTTAAAAATATCTTTCCCAAATTGGGATTTTGTAATGTATTAATATGCTAATGACTGCTATGACTGTTTGTGTCCTTCCTCTACTGTATGATCTGCTTTCTAGTTGAAAATTAATAAAGGCTCCCAACTGGTCCAAAGTTTTCATCAATATGAGCAGATGTTGCTATTGTTTGTTTGGCTGGAGCATTTACTTTGAAAGATATGATCTGAGTTTGAAAATAAACTAAGCCCTAGTCCTATTTTTGTACAGTGGCATCAGGAAAATATTTTGTTTTGTTTTTATTTCAGTAGAAAACCAAGAAGAGTTACCTTATCAATTTTAGGATGTGAATTTCAGAAAGAAGTCATGATGGTGTTTTGATTTTATTCTTATATCAAAATCCTGCCAACAATAACAACAAAATACTTATTATATGTGGATCAAATGACAATGAACTTACCACTGCTTTTTATAAACTGTGTGGTATGCTAAAATTTCCATCATTTTATCCATTTTGTAAAAATTTAACAATCTTGTAATACAAACTATATGCCACTATTCAAATTAATTACAGGTTCATTTAAACATCATAATAACCCCACAGGATAATTACTTTACTATTATTATGCCCATTGTATAGATAAATAAGCTAATGTCCAGGCGGTTGTATAGCCTTTCCAACGTCACACCACAGATTTTTAACTCAGGCAATCTGCCTCCGCAGGCTGTTCTTGTATCTGCTAAACTATCCTGTGTTAAAAATTCCAACAGTTATTGTGTGTGTGTGTGTGTGTGTGTGTGTGTGTGTGTGTGTGTGTGTGTTTAATTATCCTAAGAATGCTAACCTCTTGGATATTTTTAATAAGTCCTTGCTTTAATGGTAAGACAGTGGACTTTCTAGTAGTGATACTGTTATTCTTTGACTGAAAATGTGGCCAAAGCTTCTGAGGAACATATATCCAAAAGAAAGAGAGCCTTCCGAGGCAGCTGGATGACATGACAATCCTGAAGATCAATGAGATGAAAATGTCATACTGCCACATTCATTTCATTTAACCTTTAAGTTTAAAACTTTCAATGAAAAGGAATCACTGAAAATGTTAGCATATAGTGTAAATACTGACCAGTCTTGTTTATTATCTTACATAAAAATAATTTCAATAAATTGTATATAAATGTTATATATCCATTATATATGTAGGAGAAAATGAATTCTAAAGGAGAAACAATAGAAGAATCTGTGGTTGAGGCAAATTTATCTCTTTAAAGATACTTTATTGTTTAGAATCAACTATAGTACTAAGTGAATACGACTTAAATTTGTGATTTAAGGTGATTCCACAACTGACCAAGACATCAGGGAGATAAAAGGAACAATGATCAGTAGGGTATAAAATACTATCCAAATCTTAAAGGCAAGGTAACTTATTTCATCTTGTTACCAAAAATATTAAACTCTTGCTTTCCTTTAAGAATATATTCATAAGCAAGAAAAATGTGGCCTCTTCTATTGCATAGTTTATAATCTAAAGTTGTTGATTATGGCAGACAAAAATTAATATAGAAGTGTAAGTACATATAGAGAAAACAAAATATATAATTGTTTAAAATCTTGGACTGTATGTCAGTAGTTTAAAATTCTAAATGATGAAATTAAGCTTATAACTGTTACTCTTGTAGCCAGTTGATATTCGCCAAGTCATGCTTAACCCTTCTCAAATTTCAGTAGGAAATCAATATTTTGCAGTTTGCTCATCTTAAGCAGATGGTTATAGCAAAACCTCAGCTTGAGTTTATTTATCCATTGAACTTCTGGGGAAAAAATTAATGCAACATAAAATCAAATAAATATTTGAATAATTTTTATAGGCATTATTATGATTACTATGCAGGATGATGCCTTGCCCTTGAGAAATTTGCATTTTATATTAAGCAATCTTCCATTTTATACGACTGCTGCTTGAGATGACACAAATATATCACAAGGACCTAATATTTTAGGCCTAGAAGGAACCTATAGGACAGCTCTGTCAATATCATCTAAGCAGGTGACAAGCAATGTCATATCTATTTAGTGAAGCAAGTAAACAGAAAGAGGATTTCAAGATAGAAATAAAAGGTACAAGGATGCACAAATGAACCTTGTATGTGGTTTGAGATGGCAATAGGACATGCAATTTAGGCTATCTTGTACTGCTTTAATATTAATGGATATAAAGTATATTGTACGTGAAACAAATGAGTTTCATCTCCATGAAACTGAAAATATCATGGGGGATGTTTTAATTATATCATCTTCTGTAACATTTTATCATGAAATCAAAACATGTGGGACCACTATATTTTACATTTATCTACCTCAAGAGTGATGTTTCCAAAATTAAAACACAAATTTATTATAATTAGGAAATTAAGTGTTCTTTCAGAAACTCTTCATGTATTTTGTAATTCACATGAAGTTGAGCTTTTTGATTTTGAACATAAAAGTCTAGCAAGAATTTTTTCTTCGTTTTTTTTTTTTTTTTTTTTTTTTGAGATAGGGCCTAGCTCTGTCACCCGGGATGGAGTGCAGTGGTGCAATCTTGGCTTATTGCAACTTCCACCTCCCGTGCTCAAACCATCCTCTTACCTGAGCCCCCCAAGTAACTGAGGCTACAGGTGTATATCATCATGCCCTGCTAAGTTTTTTGTATTTTTGGTAGAGATGGGGTTTTACCATGTTGCCCAGGCTGGTCTTGAACTCCTGAGCTCCAGTGATCCACCTGTCTCGGCCTCCCAAAGTATTGGGATTACAAGTGTGAGCCAAGGCACTCAGCTGAATTTTTTTCTTAATTTAGTATAGGTATTTGAGTTTGTTTTTGTACCATATTTATGTTGTAATCTACACACCTAAGAATATTATGGCTACATGCTTATATTATGCCCCTTGTGCTCTATTACTTATGTTTACTACTTATGTTTGTACCACTAAAGCTTCATTAAATCTCTGTATTGCCCCATTACAGCATATCCAGCCAAAATATTTAATACATGAATTTGCCTCTTATACCCTAATCTAATTGCTACCCTGACTTCCTATTGTCAAATTGACTCATTGAATCTTGTCTTCAGATACTGCTGTAACTACTCCCTCAGTTAATTACACCTCCAGTCATTCAATTTTTCAGGCCAGACAACCGATAATCACCTTTTCTCATGCCTCACACAACTTCACTGTTCTCACAGTTCTCTTCCTATCTCTATTGCCATTGCCAACAGCTTTCTTAAAGTATTTGTGAGTCCCAAGTTTCTTTTGTGTGGCTTGTTACTTTAGGTTGCTAACTGCTGAAGTCTAACTTCCCTTCAAAACTCCTTCCTAAATAATGTCCAAAGAATCTTTCTAAAATGCAAGTAAGATTAGATCACTCCTTTACCTGAAATCGGGTCACAGTTGTTTATCATCTTTATGGTCATCTCCGTACTCCTCAGAGTGGCATACAAGTCCTTTCTACTTTCATCTCCTGCTATTCTTTCATTTACTCTAAACATTTTATAGTTCTCTGAGAGATTCTCTGCTTTCCTATTTATCCTTCAAGACTCAGGTTGTATAAATCAGGCTCCAATCAAAAACAGATTTCACACTCAAATTACAGTATCTCAAGAAGAGTATACCACAGTGAATCTGTTTACAAAAGTTTGGGCAGGGTGTAAGTAAGACATGAATGTTAATGCAATTATCTAGGTTAACACAAAAAGTAAGAGCTATTACAATCCTAAACCCAGAGGGGTGAGGGGAGACAGTGGTTATCTGAAACCAGAAGGAAAGACAGCTCTGTAGTAAAGGCTGACTGGAGAGGATCAGTGACCACAGGACATAGCAAATTTGCAGGCAGAGGGCCAGGGGAATCAATACACTGAACACATTATTCTCCCCATTGGCTGAACCTCCTGAAGTCAGAGGCTTCCATAGGGCCCACATAATCTGCCAGGTCAGGAAACCAGGGGGGATGATGGAGGTAGATCTGGAGAGCTAATAGAAAGTTTCCTAAAACAAATCTGTTTTAGATTCTCCCCAAGTCTAGTTAGAAACTTCCTCCTTTGCTTTTCCATAGTCCATACTGTCCTATTATAACACTTGTGTTTTATCGTAATCACCTTTTCTTGGTCTGTGTCTTTCTAGAGCACACCACGTCCTAAGGCCCCCGGAAGACTTTTCCCTTACCCTTCCATTCCAATAAACTTAAATCAGCATCAAATATTGTCTTTTATTTCACTGAGGCCCTAGACTGTACTTTTGAAACACACACACACACACACACACACACACATTCACACACAGACACACATAGCTGTAAATTATTGTAGTTACTTGCAGAAGATAAAATTGTACAACTCAATTATATAATGGGAAACTAAACATTATGAGAAACAGTTAATGTTATGAAAATGAAAGTATATAAAATATGTCTGGATCCTTCTTGGGGTGATCAAGAATGTTTGTAACAATATTCTAAGTAATTGCACATAGCATATAAAGGAAGAAAACCAAGCAACATGCCGTTGCTCTCTAATAAAGTATAAACTTGAAATAGATATATGCAAACAAAAAATATGAAACAGAAGTTACAAAAAAAGTATCTTGGATGTGCCAAGTAAGGGTTTGATCGTCTCTGCCATCCCTTAATCTCCATTGGAAACCATATCATTTTCTTTCTTTTCTTTTCTTTTTTTTTTTTTTTTGAGACTGAGTCTCACTCTGTCACCCAGGCTCGAGTGCAGTGGCAGGACCACCGCTCACTGCAAGCTACGCCTCCCGGGTTCACGCCATTCTCCTGCCTCAGCCTCCTGAGTAGCTGGGACTACAGGCGCCCACCACTACGCCTGGCTAATTTTTTGTATTTTTAGTAGAGACGGGGTTTCACCGTGTTAGCCCGGATGGTCTCTTTCTCCTGACCTCCTGATCCGCCTGCCTAGGCCTCCCAAAGTGCTGGGATTACAGGCGTGAGCCACCGCGCCCGGCTGGAATCCGTGTCATTTTTTTATGGACAGTTGGCATTTGCTCAATTTTATGTAAATGCAATAAAAATACAACTTCATCTATTCCTCCAATGTATACAGTACCCCTTACCTCACGTACCCTCTGACATAGAAATTCTGAAGTTGCCATTAGAAATGTTACTGATACATTACAAATAAGTCAAGGATACAGTGACAATAAATATGATAGAAATTTGTATAGTCACCTTAACTTAGTGTTATAAAATATGTCTTCTCTGATACTAACTTTGTAGCATGTTAAGCAAATTTCAAAATATTGAAAGGTCTATGCCAATCAATACATTTCACATAAATACAGCAGTATTATGCTCTAGGTTCCCAGAATACATAAAACTTAATGGCTAGACATGTTAGAAAATATTAAGGTAATGCTGTTTTTGCACTGGATCTCATTCCTATCCTTGAGATGTCATATGTTTCAGTAAGGTCACAGAAAAACCTCACCTCAAATATAAGATTATATCCATGTCACATTTTGACAAACTGTTTTAGTCTCTGGAGAACTGTCTGCCTTCTTTATCTACAAAGTTTCAGTACTTCTGCTGGAGAAAATGCATTTAAGTTTTCCCATTTTCCATAATTCAGTTTATTTTAATATAAAGTTTTGTTTTATATTCAGGTTACTATATTGATATGTTTCTGTTATTTATTACTATTTTGTAGTTCTATTTATTTTGTGTTATTATTTCTTATCATTATATATTTTAGTTTTATTTTCCATTGTGTTTAATTAATAGGTATCTGAGGCTGATTTTAGATTTAAAATTACATATGTAGTCTTTCTCCCTTGTTTAACCTTGAGATAAGATTTATTTAAACAAATTGCATATGAGCTACTCCTAAACCAAATAAGTTTAGTTTTGTGCTATAACCTGGAAGCTTGATAAAGTGGATCCTAGATCCTGATATCCTGGCAGTTACCTTGACTCAAAAAGTGAGGAAGTAAGACCCAGCATTCAGTTTCAAGCCTCTGAGATATCATCATGAAAGAAGAAACAAAAGCAATGATGTCTGTATACTTAAAATAGAAAACTAAGGTATACAGGGTATTCTTTAAAGCTTTTGAAAAAAAAAGTCTTTAAATTATGTGTTGAAATGATTACAAAAATTTATAACCACTACAGAGAGCTGCCAAGTTCATTTAAGATTGATTAAAACAAACTAACTTATAGTCTGGATCTATTTATCTGAGGAAATACATTTTTACCTGACACTGGACACATTTAAATTACTGATAGTTTTAGCTTTGGAACATGGCTTGTGAAAGCTCCTGTCATAACAGAAAATTGTGCAATAGGGATTTAACAGGTTTTTTTGTAGCATTGTGCTATAGCATGAATATTGTTTGTGCTTATTACAAGTTTCTGGTGATCTTGTTTGACTTTCCTACACATAACAAGGGATTTGGACAGTTGGAAAATCTGTACAAATAGTACCACTTGTGGTTTAATATTTAAAACAAAATACTGTGGCTGCAGTGTGCTGGCTTATGCCTGTAATCCCAGCACTGTGGGCAGCCAGACCAGCCTGGGAAACATAGCAAAAACTTATCTCTACAAAAATACAAAAATTAGCTGAGCATGGTGGTGTGTGCCTGTGGTCTCAGCCACCCAGGAGGCTGAGGCATGAGGATGGCTTGAGCTTGGAGGTGGAGATTGCAGTGAGCCAAGATGGTGCCACTGCACTACAGCCTGGTTGATGGAGCGGGACCCTATCTCAAACAAACAAACAAAAAACCTACTTCTCTTTTAATTTTCCCTATTGTTTCATTGAGAGATGTATTAATCTATCTGGGCTGCTATCATGAAGTGCCCAGCTTATAAACAACAGAAGTTTATTTCTCTCATTTATGGATGCTAGGAGGTCCAAGATCAAGGTGCTGGAAGAAATGGTGTCTGGTGAGGCCCTGCTTCCTCAGTGGTCATCTTTTTGCTGTCACCTCATATGGCAGACGGGGTGAACAAGTTCTCTGGAGTCTCTCTTATAAGTACACTACACCAAATAATGAGGCATCTACCCTCATGATGTAATAACCTTCCAAAGTTTCTGTCTCCTAATATTATCACCTAGAGGGTTAGAATTTCACCATAGGAATTGGAGATGACACAAACCCTCAGATCATAGAAAGTTATTTTTAATTGCCAAGGTAACAATTATAACACAGTCATTTCTGGTCGATATGTACTTGCATAAACAAGACTTATTTTTCATGCTATTCAACCACGTCAGAATAAAGAAACAGACTGAAAGGACCGTGAGGTTTCTAAACAACGACTGTGGTTGCCACATGTGTATCAAGAACTGTGAAGGTTCAATGTGCAAGCTGAAAAGTTTGCTGGATACTGTTTAATAAACAAAGGAAGAAGACATACGTCTCCTAGGCTGGAGAGAGAGAATTTTATTTTTCATAGCAGTGGCAGCATCCATAGTATCAGCATTCACGTTGGTTTCACATATTTCCCAGGTCACACAAGAGACAGGGTGGAGGACCCAAATGGATACACAATAGGTTTGCAACACAGTTGAGAAATCTGTGATTAGGAAACTCAAATCTTTTATAATAGGCTGCAAGAAATCCCATGTCTTGCCCCAGAAGGAGGCAGTAAGCAAATCTGCCTTTTGCTGTAGAAGTTTATCTAAGAAAATATTAGCTGAATTAATTCTATATATTTTCTTATCAGATTGCATTAGAAAAAAATGTTCTGCAACTATAAATATATGTTAAAACCACTTGTTGAAACAGGACTTAAGGACACACTACTTAGATTAAATTATTTTGCATTACAACCAAATATTTTACTCTTAATCACCATGTTCCTTGTTAATTATTTCATAAATATAACAGTTTCCATGAAAATCAAACCATCCTAGTGACAGTCCTGAATATGAATATGCTCTGTTGATGCCACTTATGTTATCATCTTTATATAGGAGGCCAATATGGCATGGAATAAAGGAGATAAAACTATACATATTCAATAAAATTGTAGAAAAGAAGTTTCCTACCATGTTGCATGTGCATGTAAATCTTAGTTGCTTCTTCAGCCAAGAAGTTTGAATTTTGATGAAGGTGAAAATTTGGTATAAGATTGATTATTACACTATTACATTCCACTTTAGAATAGTATATCTAACTTCTTAATTTATAAAAAAATCACATATATCATTAAACTCAACTGTTTTATTTAATGACTAAATTTTCATTTATTTAAGACTTGAAACAAGTATGAAGACTTTCTAGGAGCAATTATGACCTACCTTGACTGCTCTAAGAGTTTTCAGAGGATTATTCTAACATCTAAACACAACATAGATATCTGTGAGGGGAGCAAAATACATTTCGTTTGCCTATCTTTTATTTGCATTGCATATGAGCCATGTTCTAAGTGATTTTTTTTTCTATATAGATTTTAAGAAGTTTTTCTTAAAGGACATTACAAATTTCTAAGCCACTCACTCCAGCACAGTTCTTAGGAATGTAATTATGAACAACTAAAGACAAACGTTATAATGTAATACATTTCCTCTAATGCAAAATTAGCATGCATCTGAATTACTTGGAGGGTTGGGCAAAACATGGATTTCTGGGCCGCACCCCAGTTTCTCATTCAGTCATGCCAGATAATTTACATTTCTAACAAGTTGCCAGGAGGTGCTCATATTGCTGGTCTAGGGACCACACTTTGCGAACAACTATTTTAAATAAAAGAGACTCAAGATGATGGAGATGAAGCTGATGAAGATGACAGTAGCAGCCAACACAAACTAAGTGCTGTCCTGTTACTTGTCAGTTTGCTAAATTCTTTATGTGCATAAGCTCATTATGTGTTGTGATTATTTTTAAGGAGAAAACTGAAGCTCAAAGAGGTTAGACAAATTGCCCAAGATCACAAAATTGAAAAGCATCAGAGCTAGTTTTTAAGCTGAGGCTTTTCTGACACCAAATCCTGTGCTTAACAAAGAATAGAAATAACTGCAGTCCATAAGGGCCTTTGGCTCTACAAAGCAGGTGGGAGAGATGCACTGTGATTCAGGAGAGCCAGGCACAACCTGTGGTTCCTAGTAAGGGGTGAGAATTTTCATGTGTAGGAATTAGCCCTTGAAATCTAAGTACTTGAATAAGTCAGAAATAGCCCAAAGTCATAAAAAGCCCAGAAGCAAAACATAAATGACAGGATAATCACCAAATCAGGTCAGAACCAGGGTTTCTTCATAGTTTTAATATTTAAAAATAAATGGCTTCTGTTGCTTAAACAACAATATTTCTTCATCAAAATACTGGAGACTGAAATGGTGTACTTTCTGTGCTTTGTGCCCAATAAAAGTCCAAAATGATACATTTGCTGGAGTACCCATAAAAAGCAACATTAATCATCTGCTTGCAGAGACAAGGGCAAAGACAAAGTATCAGGGAACAGTGGGATCTTTGTGGATGAGCCTTAAAATCTGAACCACAGGCCAAAACAAAACCATCTACCTTTACCTTTACCGACCTGATTTCTGTTCCTTGATCATACCAAGCTTGTTTCTCACATATGGACATTACAATAGCCGTTTTCTCTTCCCAGAATGCTTTTTATTTTAGTTTTTACCTGGCTGGCTCCTTCTTGCTATTCAGGTCTTAAAAGTTGCAGTCTCAGAGAGACCCATCTCTGATCACCCACACTTTGTAGCGCTTATCACAGCATGTTGCACCATATATTTTAGTTACTTATTTGTTAATTATCTTTCCCTCCAACCACTACAATGAAAACTCTGTTACGAAGGGAATTTTTGCCTGCTTTTTACTACTATGTTTCTAGCACGTAGAGCAGTGTCTAACACATACTAGGTATTCAGTAATTATTTTTTTGACTAGATAAATGAAGGAGGGAAGAAAAAAAGAAAACAGACATTGTAGTAGTTGAACTCTTAATTTGTTTTCATTTTAATTATTTTTTATTTATTTATTTGTATTTGTATTTATTTATTTATTTATTTTTTTTTGAGACAGTTTCACTCTTGTCACCCAAGCTGGATTGCAATGGTGTGATCTGAGCTCACTGCAACCTCCATCTCCCAAGTTCAAGTTCTCCAGCCTCAGCCTCCTGAGTAGCTGGAATTACAGGTGCCTGACACCCCACCCAGCTAGTTTTGTATTTCTTTTTTCCTTTTTTTTTTTTTTTTTTTTTTTTTTTTTTTAGTAGAGATGGCGTTTCACCATGTTGGCCAGGCTTGTCTCGAACTCCTGACCTCAAGTGAACTGGCCGCCTGGACCTCTCAAAATTGTGTGATTACAGGTGTGAACCACAGCCCACAGCACCTGGTCTACTCTTAATGGATGATTCACAGGGTTTTCATGCCCCAAATTTGTGCATGCACACACACACATACACACACACACACACACACACTTTATAGTCTGTAGTGATGATCGAATGTCATGCAGTTATGTAATTATATTCTCTCTAGTTTTTGCCCCTCCTCTTTTCCCTCAATGCTTAAAATAGACAAAGGTATATATATACACAATATCTTTGAAAACTGCAAGCAAATTCCCAGTTCAAAATTTGTTCAATTTTTAAATTAGATTAAATCACCCTTGAAAGATAATTCACTCAGCTCCAGGAATAGTATGAATTATGTAGAAGGCCTAAGACTAAATATTTTAATTCCACATTTCCCCTATGTCAGGGAAACCACCTAAAACCCAACCGCATATTTATATTCTTGTAATTAATTGCAGACTAATTTTATTCATGAAGTTATATTTGAACTAATAGTGACATCGAGAGTTAATTCTATTTGGCAGTGTATTTGGACTTTCATTTGGTATAGAATTTAAATCAAGGGATTTGAAAATAAAGTTAAGAGGGCAATTCAATTTTGATAAAAATTGAGTCAATGATGAAAGCGCATCCTGTAAGCTCTAATGTAAACCCAGTCTTTGAAAAATATCATGCATGGTACTTGGAAATTCTTTGAGGAATGAAAGCTTTTCATGTGTGATCTTCTTAAAATGGAATTTACGTTCAAATTCAATGGACCCATGTGCACAAAGAGTGATAATGCATCTGAAGAGTCTTTCTGGATTCTCTGTGTGAGTGCACTTGCATGTGAAGAGAGAAAGGAGGAGAGAGAGAGAGAGAAAGAGAGAAAGAAAGAAGGAAAGAAGAGGGAAGGGAGAGGTTGTTAAAGGAAAGAGCCACTACAGGTACCTAAGTGATTTAAAAAAAAAAAAATCTTATACTTATAAATATTGTGCACTTAGTGTGTAAATAAAATGTTTTGTAATGCTTGTTCAGCTACTATGCTTTTCATTGGGATTAACTAGACATCATTCAATATGTTTCATTTGTGGCTTTTAACTCATTTATTTGCTCACTTAAAAAATATTGAGTATTTACCATATGCTAGTTTCTAATCTGGGTATTGGGAATGCAGCTAAGTATTTTACTTCCTTATTCTTACATAATTTTCTAAACTGAAAAGAAGGGAAACTTGTTTTTGAATGTAGAATGATTGAAAATATAATGAGATTGAATACAAATGTATTCCGTAAAGGTCTATGCCATATTTTTTGGTTTAACATTTTACTGTAATGAAATTTGATGAATTTTTTAACGTACTTATAAGAGATCAAGTGGAATTTTTTCAGTAATTTTGAATACCAATCTTAGAATAAAGAATAGACTTTTAAGTAAAAGTAGTCAAAGGTTACAGGCATTTATATTCAAACCTACAGTGTTATCAGTGCAGCAGAGAGAATCAAAAAACAAACAAAAATCCTATACTTCTTATTTGCAGGGAAAAAAATCAACAAGTGAGTTGTAGTCTTAATGCCTACCATTCTAGAAAAATTACTAATGGATGATCAAATATTTTCTCTTTGACCTACATGATACTTGACACTTTGTATGAGAAAAATGTGTACTCAGATTAAATATAATCTCAAAGCAATCCTTTTAATTTCAAACTTTGGAAAAGAAAATGTACTTTTTTTTGAAATTTAATACTCATGGAAAAACAGAAATAGTGAAACTAGAAATGTGACACAATGCTGATCACTTCTTGAAGTACTGCTTCTAGGATGTGTGAGGAGGGAAGAGAGGACATTAAGGCTGCTTGCTTCATGCTGTGAGCCATTAGCTGATTGCTCCAGGCTTCACCACCAACAGCAGAACAGAAGGGGAGGTGGCCCTGATGAAAGGGAGGAAAGAAAAAAGACAGATTTATTGTCTTCTCTATAGGATCTTATTTCCATTCTACTCCAGTGCTCTTTTCTAAGACATTAAATAAGTACTTAACCCTTTACTATTTACACTCCTTATGATCTGAAACACTGGGAAGGTATTTATATTTTGCCTTGAAACATCATTTTAAAATGTTTTACTTTTAAATGTTTATTGAGTTGTACTTACAAATGTTAATTATAGCTTCCTAAAGACAGGAATCCAGGAAACTGGATTTCTCTATAGAAGGATTATGTAAATTTGGTTCACTACAGGATGCATTACTAGCATTTTGAAAATGCCTGGTACATAGCAAGTGCTTCACAGGTGTTACCTGAATGAATAAGTGGTTGCTATCTTTTGTTTGTGACAAAATTGAATAATATGGAAGGATAGAAGCCATGATGTGTGGCATACCAGGCAGCGTACAAAGTTAAGGAGTGTAATTGTTTAATGCCTAATGCTTAAATGACACTGACCATGATTAAAACCCAGCTGACATCTGCCATATGCCTCTGAATAAGTGAGTTAACTTTTCTAAATATGTTTTCTCAAATGCAAAGTAGAAATAACACTACTGCCAACTTCATAAATGGCACACCAATAACACTCATACACTGAGACCTTAGTATAAATCTTATATATTAGTATCATTATTTAGAGTGGCAGAACATAGCCCATACATAGAAGACAAAAATAATCTGATCATGAAATAAAAATAGAAGAGACCTTGCGTGAAGGAAAAGAAGGGATTCAAAATGCTTTATATATAATAATTAACTTCAAAACCTAATTCTTCTTTATGTATTTTATGGCAGTAAATTCTGTATTCTCAATTATAGCATATTAATATATCTCCAAATTAAGTATATTTATTGAAGCATGACTTAAGTGAGGATTGTTTAAAATGCACAAGGAGGTATTAGTTTAAATATGTTTATTCACGTAATAATAACATGTATAAATAGGCTAGTTTTATTCATAAATATCTGCAGTTATAAGTAAAGTTACTTATAATTCCATTACAGTGTTGGAATAGAAGCCCTGTGAGGACAGGGATTTTGTCTGTTTTTAATGGCTATTTGTCTAGTGCCTAGGGCATATCCTAATTGTGGTAGATATGTAATAAATATTTCATGACTAAAGCAAGTAATATAGAAACATTATATATATTTAGATTCTTGGAAAAGAATTTCAGCATTGCTAGTACAAATCGATTTCATGTAATCTCATGACAAAGGAAAGTTTGGTTCCCATATCTTTTGCTTAGGCAAATGGCATCATGAATTTATGTTTCAGTAAGAAATAGAGGAAACAGTCATTATTTTCAGGGCCCCATTCTGTTGACTAACAATTCTACACAGTCCTGAGGAAATTATGCCACTAGTTTGTGACCCCTCAGCAGCAGATCCCGTGTGACGCTGCTAAGCATACATTGAAATACAAACACTGCTTATATAATACTTCTGGATCAACAATGCATATAAAATTCAAAATCTCCATTTTCCTCTCACAGGTGCTAACCAGCCACAAGGGAACCTAGGACAACAAGGAATTCAAATATTGTCTTATAAGTAACAACCTGGTGCCAGGCAGGGTGGCTGACGCCTATAATCCCAGCACTTTGGGAGGCGGAGGCAGGTGGGTCACTTGAGATCAGGAGTTCGAGACCAACTTGGCCAAAATGGTGAGAAGTTGTCTCTAGTGAAAATACAAAAAAATTAGCCAAGTGTGGTGGAGCGCACCTGTAGTCTCAGCTACTTGGGAGGCTGAAGCAGGAGAATTGCTTGAATACGGGATGCAGAGATTGCAGTGAGCCAAGATCACACCACTGCATTCTAGCCTGTGCAACAAAGCAAGACTCCATCAAAAAAAAAAAACAAAAACAAGTAACAACCTGGATGTTTAGCTTCAAGAAAAGCTTTTATTTATGTATTTATTTATTAGAGACAGGGTCTCATTCTGTCACCAAAGCTGGAGTATGGTGGCACAATCATAACTCACAGTAGCCTTGAACTTCTAGGCTCAAATGATTCTCCTGCCTCAGCCTCCCGAGTAGCTTGGACTGTAGGTCCATGCAACACGACCTGGCTAATTTTTTAATTTTCTTGTAGAGATGAGGTCTCACTATGTTGACCAGGCCGGTCTTGAACTCCTTGGCTTCAAGTGATCCTCCTGCCTCCACCTCCCAGTAGGCTGGGATTACAGGTGTGGGTCACTGTACCCGACCACCAAGAAGAGCTTTGATAGTCACAAAGATAGTCTTCAAATATTGAAATCTTATCAAGAGAAGTATCCATTGGTCAATTTTGCACTTCGACAGAGGGCAAACTATGATTACAAGTAAAATTACCAAAAAAGAAAGTTTCAATTCAGTGCTAGAAAAATATTTTTTTAAGAGCTAGAGTTGCCCCAGAGTTGAATAACTCATCTGGTCAGTTAATGTGACAGTTAATTCTGAGTTTCAGATTTTCTGGGAGAGTCTAGTTGTACATATTTAAATGTTGTATAGTGTTTTGAGTGGAAAATTTAAGGAGGTAATTTAAGATTACTTTTATTAAAAGGAATGTAGTATCAGGCTCTAGTACAGAACACCTTTAACCTAACCATTATATCTATTATATATTAATAGGATTACAAACATTTCACACTGTACATAAATACACAAAACACAGGCAATAATTATAGTGTGGACACAACAGGTAGCACGGGAATAAGGAGAATATAGGGTGTGAGTATCTTTAAATCTGCCATTACATCTGGTTTGGCCCAAATAGTCTCTTTGCTTATAAGTGCTCACTGTGCCCCCATTGGCACCCTTAGGAGGACACCAAGTAGGGGCATGAGTTTACTCACCCCTTTCAGCAGCTGGGGAGAGTTATTGGGCCAGAGAGCCTGTTCTGGCCAGCTCTGCATGTAAAGACCACAGAGATGCAGCTGGTTCCATCTGCATTTTTCTTAGTGTCTGTGTCCTCTCTGAAATTTGTGCTCCCTTGTCCCTATTTGAGAAATCCCTGCAAGTGGTAGCCTCTTTGTCCTGAACCCTGGACCTCTGGCTGTCTCAGAAGCTTTGCATCCTGGTCTAGGGCATGTAGAAACTCTCAAACCCCTGAATATTACCCACAGAAATACAGTCAGAGGTCGGGCGCGGTGGCTCTCGCCTGTAATCCCAGCACTTTAGGAGGCTGAGGTGGGAGGATCACTTGAGGTTAGGAGTTCAAGACCAGCCTGGCCAACATGGTGAAACCCCATCTCTACTAAAAATACAAAAAAATTAGCCAGGCATGGTGGTGCACACCTGTAATCCTAGCTACTTGGGAGGCTGAGGCGGGAGAATGGACGTGGGATGCGGAGGTTACAGTAAGCCAAGATTGAGCCACTGCACTCTAGCCTAGGTGACAGAGTAAGACTCCTCAAAAAAAAAAAAAAAAGAAAGAAAAAAGAAAAGAAATACAGTCAGACAGAAGCACTGCCTCCAGCTCATATCTATTCCTGCCTTCTGTGTCACCATCCCTTTCTTGGTGTTAAAGAGATGTGAGTAGAGATTTTTCTGGAGGCTGTCATCTGAGGTCTGGTATGCCTGGAAGGGGTGACTTGAAAATCTCAAAATCCCACATACTAAAAACAGGTGCTTCTATCTGCCTCCCCATCCTTTTCCATCCCCTTAACCTCAGAATTGCACCTCAAAAGGAGAAATATGAAGGCATTTAACTTTAATCTCATCTCCTTCAACAGGC
The DNA here is from genome assembly GCF_000001405.40 of Homo sapiens. NCBI lineage: Eukaryota > Metazoa > Chordata > Mammalia > Primates > Hominidae > Homo > Homo sapiens. Next base: position 93,151,443 of record NC_000004.12, read on the forward strand.
TCAAACTTCAAACCAGCAATAAGGGCAGAAATTAGACACCGCCTTCTTTATATTAAAACTATGTGATAAAGTCAGCCAGACTTGGTTCTTAATAAGGGTAACAAAAAATAGATTAAAGCAAAATATCCAAAATATTATAGCTGTGACACTTACAAACTATGAATAGAAGAAAATATTAGAATAATAGTGATATAAACATTTAATTTCATAATCTGAGTCATATGAAATATACCACTGTTAAAAATATAAAGGGACATCTCACTTTTCCTAATACATGTGAAAACCACTTTTTTATTTTGAAGCCAACAGTGCCAGGTCACAATATTGTTTCTGGAGAAAAAATGATTTTCATCTCTCAAGATGATATTTTAATCCAATAATCACATTAAATGAACTTGTTTTGTGTGTCTCGATGCACAGTAAAATAAAAATGTGTCGTTGAGTTCTGAAATTCTTAATTTAAATTTAATAAAGTATGCATCAGATTTTAATAGACATGAATCAGCCTCAATGTAAGCAGTCTTCATATAGAATGCAAGCTGTTTAATTTATTTTTGCCTGTTCTAGTTTCACGTGGTAAAATACTGTGTATAGATAAACACTAATCTCCAAAGTATGAAAGGAATAATGAACATTCAAGGAAGGGCACAAAGAACTTCAGAAAAGCAATCAAATTTTCTTTGTTTCAGCTTACAGAGTTAGAGTAAAAATACATACAAAATAATATAATTAACTCTTCACAATGTAATTTTAAATCTCAAAGATTAAACCGAAGCATTTTCCTTATGGACTATCTAATTCTTTGTTTACTAATTTTAAAGTAGACTTCACCAGGTTTGGTACTTTGCTTTGTGAACTAGAAAGTAAACAATAAGCAAGGCAAAAAGAATAAAAAGGGAGAAACCTACTTTAAAACAATCTGAAAATGATAAGCAGAGGTGGTTGTTTACTCTTGATTTAAAAACATGAAGACAAAGAGTACATGATTGCTTTTCCAGGAAAAGCATGAGATGAAATAGGCTTGAGATATAATTTTACTAGAAATCAAAGAAGTACAAAATATTTATAATTAACCACAGCTTAAATTGAACAGGTGGATACATACTGGTTAGCATGTTAGCTCATTGTGTATTTAAAGTTTGTTAAACTATTTATTGCTGCTTCAAGCCAGACTCTGGAACCAAATGGTGTTTGATACCAACCCTTCATTGTCATGAGCCGTGATAGTAACAGATTAAGAACTGCTTTGCATGGCTAATTCTGATAGATGAACTGTTACTTCAAAGCTAGCAGTAATAAAGTCTAATCAGATGTTTAGGAAATGTTTTAGATATTTCAGAGAAAGGGAAGATATAATTTATGGCCAGGAATTAAATGGTGCAAAGGTGTTCGGCAGTTATAAATATTACCTTGGAAGCATAGTTTAAAAAAATCCTGATGAAGATAAAAAGAATAACATGCTCAAAACAACCAACCTGGTTGTCCATGTTTATCAGTGTTTACTTGGAGGAAGACCAATAATGTTATTTTGTCCTGATATGTCCTATTAACATTTGTTGTAAGTTACTTTAATGAAAACAAAGGAAGCCTAAATATGAAATTAGGAAATAGATCCCCAAAGTGATTGAATATTCTTTGAATAGTAATCTATGTCTAACCTATTTAGATAGGTGGAAATCAAAGACTCAAAAAAGACTGGAGGTAAAATTAACAAAATAAATACAAAATTCTGGCCTCCTATTTCACATAAGATGATACACCAAGAAACTGGAGTGATCTTCCACTTAAAATAACTAACAGTTTTATGTACATTTTTGAAACTATCTTCAGAAATACTTCCATGAGCTGGTAAAAACACCCTGGCCAAAGTCAAATGGAGCATTGAATCGGACTTTCATTTTGAGGGCATTTGCCAAATCAGGTAATTTGAGTACTGATTTTTGCAGGCTTTCAGTACTCAGAGGACAGGAAAAAAAGCCCAGGGCTCGCACTTGCAATCAGAGAAGTGGCAGAGACTAGCTAGTCAGAAAGCTTTTTCATCCTTTTCCTAAGCATGGTGGTGAATAATATTTCCTGGCATCTCCTGAGTTAGGTAGCAGTGAGGCAGCTGAGTTCTAGCCGATGTGCTATGAATGAAAGTGTCATATGCTCATTCCAGGCCGGGACATAGCATGAGTTTTCTCCCTTCAACAGATCCAGTGGTCATGTGTTGAAGGTGGTAGTGTCCCAGTTTAGAAGGAAAGTGAATTACTGACTCAATGCATAGGGAAGAGCCATCCTGGAGAATTCCGGTTCTCCTTAATAAGTTCTTATGTATAACTGATTTTAGTTTTCTCATTTTATGTGAAATAATTGGAATTTAGTTCTCCTAAGATTCTTCCAGACGCAAAGTTGTTGGTTTTATTTTGGTAAGAACACATAGCATGAGATCTACCTTCTTAACAGATTTTTAGATGTACAATATAGTATTATTATCCACAGGCACAATGTTGTACTTTAGATCTTTAGAACTAGTATGTATACCTCTGACATAAAATAGACACTTGGTATTTTTGAATAAATAGTGAGCAAATGATCCCTAAACTGCCATTCCCTGCAAAAGTGTCCTCTATAGCAGCTATTCCTCCTATTAATTAAAATTCTATTCCTTCATTGTTACCAACTGATTAGGGTACAAGTTTTAGGAAAATAATAATTGAACAAATTCACCCTCAGGAGTAATGATACCAGCTCTACAGACTGATCAATATTCAGTTGCTATGCACCAGCATTGCTTACATTAGTTGTTAAAGTATTGAAATATTACCATAACAGTTCATAAATATCTGCAGCTTCAAACCCTCCAGTATTTCTCCCCACCACCACCCTAACACCTTTCCAGAGACCTAAGATTTTGTGATCATAGTTCCTTGATTCCACAACTAAAAGAACAGTGTTTGGTGTAAACATCCTTTTCCTTCTTAGCATGAAATTTATAGGCTAACCTTGCCTTTATCTCTTCTGATTTGTTGGTGCTGTCACACTAGTGGTTAAATATTTTGAATACCACTCCCGGATAGCTTGGCTAAACCGTTAAACAATATTTGTCATTTAAAATCATCTACTAAGCCTAGATGAATCTCTTAGTGCAATGTACAGTAAGTAAGACATAATTTTTTATATAATAATTCTTCTAGGTAAAGAAATATCTTAAAAGTATCTGATTGAAGAAACAAGGGGGTGTGGTTAATAGGCATTTAATGAGTATTTGTGAACTTTCTGAGAAACCTCATTATCTTCTCTCTGTATTCGTGGCAAAAAAACAAAAACAAAAACAAACAAACAAAAAAAACACCACCACCACCACCACCACCAACAAAAAACCCTTTTCCTCTACTGCAATTCTGCCTACTCGTATTCCTTAGGAACCCATTCTCTGTCCTTCTTCTCTCACTTTATAATTATCTGTAAGGGTTCTCATCCAGTTCACCTGATATCTATTTTTAGATGATCCTTACATTTATATTTTTTTGCTCAAAACTCTCAGTTCAGTATTTTAACATTGTATTGGTCATCTTTGCCTGGGTTCCTACAATTTAATATTTTCAGATTACCTACATAGAGGCTCCTTGGTGGTCTAGTGGTTAGGATTCGGCTCTCTCAAATAACCTGTGTATTCCCAGTCTCAGTGATTGGCCTGATGATCCTCCTTTTAGACTAAACTTGAAATTGTATATTCATGATCTCACCTTCTCTTTATTCTTCTTTCATTCAGTTATTCACCAAGTTTTCTTAATTCTGCTTCCTAAATATCCTTGAAATCATGTTATATCTTAATTCCCACTACCACATGAGGATGTTCTAGCCATTCTGAAAAATCTTCATGCCTCTGCATATTCTATTGCTCTGCACAGAAGGCCTTTTCTCCTCCCCAACATCTTTTTTCTGCCTTGCAGATGCCACCATTTTATCCTTTTATACTAAGTTCTAAGGTCACCATTTTAGGAATCTGTCTTGACTCCTATTTTCCCCTGGAAGTCATTTGATAAACATCTCTATTACTGCACTTAACAAATTTTATTGTAATGAATTCTGAACTAAGCCGACATTTCCTATACTCTAAGCCACTTTATCCAGTAAAACTGAATTATTTGGCAACAGTTTATCCAGGTTATCTAATAGTCCAGTAAGATGACGTAAGAATTAGCATGGCTGGAAGATGATAGCTGGAAAGACACTGGAGATACATGTACAAATAATGGAGAAGGGAGGGGCAAGCAAGTTTATAAAATCAAAATGACTTCATGTGGACAGAGCATAAAACACAAAGGGGACAGGCAATAGAGAAGTGTAGGGGAAAATACAGGAGAGAAAAATGACAGTTACCCAATGCTGGGAAGGGTAGCGAGGGCATGGGGGGTAGTGGTGATGGTTAATGGATATAAAAATAAAGTTAGATAGAATGAATAAGATCTAGTATATGATAGCACAACAGGGTGAATATGGCCAGCAATAATTCATTGTATATTTAAAAATCTAAAAGAGTAGAATTGGAATATTCCTAACACGAAGAAACGATAAATGCTCGAGGTGATGGATACCCAATTACCACAATGTGATTGTTACATATTGTATGCCGGTATCAGAATATCATATGTATCCCATGAATATATTCACCTGTTACATACCCATAATAATTAAAAATTTTAAAGATTATGAATGAATAAATATGTATGAAGTACTTGGAACAGTGCCTGGAACACAGTGTTATATGAGTTTATAGAGTAAATAAATAAAACACATTTTATATTTACCTCTTAATAAAAGAAAAATAGAGAGGACTTACTTGAATACATATGAAAAATTAAAGATATGGACTTTGTGTTGGAAATTGGTGAGAAATTAGTAAAAGATTTTGTTAGCAAGAGAACTATATGATCTTGCTTTTTAGAAATATCTGTCAGGCAGCATAGTGTTGGAATAGATTGGAGGGGCATAATAGTAGGAACAAGGAACAATAATCCAGTTCAAATAGATGGGCGTGCTCAAATGTCATAGCTGATAGAAAGAAAGAAGAAGATTCACAGGCCCTTTAGATGTAGTGTTGACAGATCATGGTGTTTGGATGGGGAGGGTGAAAGAGAGAATAAGCCTGGGATTCTGGCTTACTAGAATAAGACTGGATATAATAGACTTATTAATGAAAATGAGAAAAACAGAGATGGATACTTTGGCAAGGGTGGAAATGGGTGGGTAGTGATTTTGATTTAGATCTAATCATCTTGAAGGACATATAAGGGATGCACGGGAGGGATCCAGTAGACAGTTGAATGTATGAACTTAGAGCATAGGAGAGAGTTCCAGTGTGGGTTAGGCAGATTTGAAACTTATCGGCCTATTGGTGGTTTTTAAAGGACTAACTGTGGACAAGATGATCCAGGAAGCAAGTATGAAGTGAAAAGTCAGTCACTCTTGTTTGTTGAATAAAAGGAAATCAAGGATCAGTTCTGAGCTGAGGTGAGGAATAGAAACTCAAGTGGACACAATTAAGCATCATATAAAGTAGCCCCTGGTCAATAGTGGGAAAAGTATCACAGAGCACAAACAAAAGAATGAGACTGTGTCCTGCACTCTATTTTTCTTTTATTTTACTCAATCCCTTCTGTTAAAGTGAAATTTTGTCACCAAATGAATCCAGATCCCATGTACCTGGTAGTTGTGTTCTCAGTAAGAAGAAAATGTAGATTTCAACCTTAAGCCTATCTACTCAAATTCCTGCTTCATACTCAGGGATGCCTACATTATTTGTGAGACTCGAAACACCCTGAAAATGTAGGCTCCCCAGTTCCAAAACCAGGAAAAATATGCCATGAAAGGTAATAAAAGGTACCTTTTCCTTTCTTCCACGATCTCTTCCTCTACTTTGATTTTTTAGAATGTCCTATTTAATGTAGTTTTTAAAATAAAAATATCTAAGTTTTAAAATATTATTAATTTTATCATTCAACACTATATTGTGTAGTATCAGTTTTAAGTGCAAATATGAGAGCATGTAACTCACCTGCAGAATCACCAAAATTATACAATTTGTATTTCATAGCTTCGACATGCATATGTCTTTCATTCTTACTGGAAAAGTAGAAACGCTGCACAAAACTAGTTTTTACTTTATTTCCTGATACATGCATGTTCTATCAATACTATCTACTCTTTTGCTTTACTGATTACTAAGGATGAATGAAAGGAAAGGAAGTATGTTCACCTTATCTTACCTTTGTTTCTATGTTGTCATTTTTAGATGCAAATACTCTTCTGTACTCACTTTGAGACTTGCTGAACTCTCATGCTCTCTCGCTACACCAGAATTCTGCTTATGTGGCATCATAAAGGCTGTATGATAATGAGGCAACAAGGAAAGACTGATAGGCATACATATTATACGTATCTTCTTTGCTTAAATTCATGTTTCATTGTCCCATCAGATTTCACTTACAAAACCCAAGCTCAAACATAAAATTATTAAAATTTTAAGACAGAAATAACAGAGCGTTAAGCCAAGCATGACTACAGTTGCACATGTAGTGTTATTTTAGGACATAAAGAAAGCTATATGTTAATAAATGCAAACTAGTCATCCTCTATTACACAACTTTCTCAATCACACAGCATTTTCTTTAAGGTGACAGCAAAAGTTGTCAGTTTTGTTTGTTTTCACCATTTGTGAGATATGTCATTTTGCAGACTTTTCTGCCACTAGAGGGAAAGATAATTTGTGTTCTCTGCTGCAATTCGTTATGCAGGAGCTAGGGAGGGATAGAGAATAATGTATGTTTGTATAGAGAGCTGAAGCAGCGAATACTCTTCATGAGAAGTTTTATCATTTTACATTTATCCTTGATATGTGCCTTTTAAAACATGAAATTCTTTTGAAGTAGGTGAAGCCTCCAATAGTACCATTATCTAAATCTGTTTTTGCTTCTCATTGTCACATGATAGCTTTTCATTTAGTGTGATGCTGGGGAAAGAGAAAGGAGAAGGTTGAATCAATTTATTAGGGCCAGGTACATATGTGGTTTTTTAAAACTCTCAATTTCTACCATACTACCTTACCTTGCAGAAAAGTCATTTCCATATCTGTCATATTTGCATTTTTTTTGTAATTCTGAACTTCTACTCCTTTGTTAAATAAATGATTTTAAAACCACACACACACACAAATACCTACATCTAGGAATACAACGATCTACCATTTGAAGAGCTCTGGAGTTCGAGTTTGGCAAAGCAATTATTTGAACTCCAGCTGTCTTTGACAGAATGTGGAATATGTGTAGATTATTCTATGAAGTGGGAAACCTAAGTCTGTGTCTCAGATGAGACTGAATGAAGAGGTTTACACCAACAGATTTGCCAAACAATAAATGACTTTATAAGACTTTTTTTTTTCAGAAGGTGCTGAAGATAACAGTGCTATTAAGTTGAGCTTAGACCTGATTCTAGACTGACTCTAAATGTTACATTTAAAAACCACTCATTTTTATGTTGCTTTGGTACAAAGATTCATTGGCCATTATTCTTGCCTTATGGAATTGTACTATATAATTACTTGGCAACAATATTTTAATGGTATCATCAGTTTGTGCTTTTTTTTTTTCTACTGGTGGCTGAGTCCATGTCCCCATAAAATACTCCTCGCAAGCTGTGCTAAATTTCCTAGCAGTTGCCTGGCCTCCACCTACACAGTGGAAAAGAATGAAATGGCTTGAGGAAATAGATGATTGTACTTGTACTGGTCAAATTACTAAAGAATCAATAAGGCCGACTCTGTAAGGTTATTGACTGGCAGGCTAATCTGAGCCCATAACTTTACTTCCAACCAATGTTTCAAGGAGTGCTGGATCCAGGACTATCTGTAGAAGCTAAGAATCATAGTGCTGAGAAAAGCAACATAAGATTATTGTATTCAAGTTATTGAGTGTTTTTGAGTCATCCAGTCATTTGCTTATATTGCAGATAGGATGCTCCTTCATCATGCCTATTCTGTCTCTTTAGTGCTTTTGAAAAGGAATTGAGGATGAGCAATCTGCCATTTCCTGTGCACCTAAATTTATCTCATTTATCTTTTTTATAATAAGCTGATATAGTAAAAGAAAGATTACTAATACAGAAGAGTCTTAGCTACTGTAACACTTAGAGAGGATTAAGTTTTTTAATTTCATTATTTTTCATTTTAAACACTGAAAATAAGACAGATAAGAATTTTTTTCCATCTGCATTTTTTTTTTTTTTTTGCTTTTCTGTTTCAGTGTACTTCTAGAGATTAAGTTCTTAGCAAAGACATCATTTATTTAGTATTATCAGTACAAATCACTAGATGCATCAAATAAAATTGAATTTTGAGTTACAAAGACAAGATGGGGGTAGGATAATTGTACAAAACTAAAGTAGAATTAATTCCATTATTTAAAAAATACTAGTGAATTTCTGTAGCTATTTTATTTTTGAAAAGGCAAAAATATATACAGTTTGATCATCTCATTCCCGTAGAAGTCACTCACATCTCAGTTGTTATCCTAGAATGTGTTTGAACTTAGGTATTCATTATGAAATGAGAATAGAATGAGTTATCTATCTGTAACTCAAAGGATATATAGATAATCTTTGGCACATATTTTCACAGTTAAACAATACCAGATAAAATACATATTCTGTTCCACATGGGAAAACTGTATGGATAATTCGTGAGTTGTAAAACACAGGCCATGAGCATTCCTTTTTGGATTGACAAGGAAACAAGAATTGTGAAACACAGGTCATGATTATTAATTCCATAAAGCCTAAAATTTGTACAGTAATCAATATAGATAAGGTAATATCATTGAATGCTTAAGAAAAAATTATTTGAAAAACCACAAATGAAAAATACAAAAAATAAAGTTTTCCAGTTCGTCTCGAGTCTTAAAAAAAAGTTTGTTTACTTCAAGAGATAAAAGTGACAATAGCTAAACAAATATAATTTTGTTAGTCTTACCTTATTAGCCCAAATCCAATTTCTTTGAGTGATGACAATGCTAAAAAATTGTGTTTTCAGTGAAATTGGTGTTCTGTGTCCTCCAAGTCCCCCTCTACCTTTGCTTTTTGGCAAGGTTCCTTTCCCCTCTCCTCTGCGAAATCATAGCACTCAAAAAGATACTGGAGCAATCTCCTTAGGAAGATCCCATTCCGCTGTCTACAATTAGGACACTTGTTAGCCCTCTTTAATGGGATAAAATATGGGTTCATTCTGTATCGTGTAGGCATTTCTCTAATAGAGCTGTTATTAGTAAATTGTGGGCTCATAAGTAAATTGATATTAGTGTGGATCATAAGCCAGTAGTATCACTGTCACCTGGGAACTAGCTAGAAATGCATATTCTTAGGCACCAAGCTGATCTACTGAACCTGAATCTGCATTTTAACAAGATTTTTATATGCATTAAAATTTGACAACACTTTGTCTACACCAGAATGGTATTAACACTGAATGATGGCCAAGAAAAAATAAAATGTCCAGTTGCAAAACTGCCTCAGTCTAAAGAAATGATGTATATGGTGACAGTACTAGGCTCCATGTCAGGGCAGGTGAAGCTAATGGCTGTTTAGGACTGTAGCGGTAGCATATCATACAGTCATCATTTTCTCAGTCTTTGACAAAAGTTATTCCTTATTTTACTGGAAAAAGTTTACATCATAATGCAAATTTAAAAAGGATTTAAGGAACAGTACATATATTTGCAATGACAGAGAAAGGGAAAGAGAGAGATTCTGAGAAACTTTTATTTAAGCCCTAGCAGAATTTTGACCTCTTAGAAATCAAGCAATAGAAGTATGGCTTTGCCTTTAACTTCTGAGGTTTGAGCAGAAATGTAATTTTCCAGCCTCTCATCATTTCTGTGACCTTTCTGAATTTCTTCACATTCTTCATTATTACTGGAGTTTAGAACTGAGTATATCTCACTACTTTCTTAGGAAAGGCCTTAATTAATATTTGAAGGAATTTGAGCTTCTAATTCCCACATCCTTTTTAATGCCTTATTTTCTATTACAGCTGTGCCCTAAATAGTTTTTAAATAATTAGCTGTACATGGTAATTTATATTTTTAACAAACTTACTACATAATTATCGTTCATGTGGTCTTTAGACCAGATTTTGAAATACTGTGAAGATTAAGCACCAGACTCAACACTAAGATTTTCAGGGTAAAAAAAATAACAATTTTAAAAATGTGTAAATCATAGTTTTTATGTGACTGAAACTATCATCTCCAATTCCAGTTTGCCTTATAAGTTTTATTTTTAATATAGCAAAATTCTCCCCCCTTCCTGCAATTTTTGCAGTGTAAATTGTGCTTACTAAAGTTAAAAATATTTTAAGTTTTTACCAATTATGTTTTCTTTTATACTTTAAGTTTTTCTTATTAATATCTATAGTTATTTCTAATTTTTTATCTCATAAAATCTGCTGGAATTTAATTTTTAAGACATTCCAATTTTTATTTTGACTATGGCAGCAATTTAGTCAATTTCTAATATATTTCCAAAAAATGATCTCCCTAACATTTCCAGAAAAGCCTTGAAATCCTAATAACATTTCTTTGGAACAGGCCAGTTGAGGTTTTTCTCATGATGATCATGTTAGGACTGTCATAGTGGAAAGCATCCCATTTGAGGAAAGCCCTCCTTATTCTTTGTGAATTTTAGAAATTTGATCTCTGAATCCTCTGGAATGAAAAAAATCTTAGGCAGACTGACAGATAACAATTTTATCAGAATTGTAATAAGTTACCATAAATTAACACTGAATATGAAGACAGTGCTTAATTAAATTGTATATATTCAAATACATTTATTGAAGAATTAACGCTGAATTAAATTAGTTACAATTTTCATGCCTATTAGTGACATAGAAGCTCCTTTAAAATATAATAAACATGTCAGCTTACCACATAGTAGTTTCTTCAAATTGTTGAGATTTAAATAAGGATAGGCCTGTGTTAGCGAGGAATAAAAATATTGTGCTTCAGCTCAGTAGCTTCCTTCTTGTGTTTTCTTTATATCAGTGTGTGTTTGTATATTCCTTTTTAACAACTTTATAATTTAATAAAATCTTGTCTGTAAGCTTAGCAACCCATAATTTATCATTATACAACTGGACTAATGAATTTATTTTACAGGTACATCATCAACCTGGAATCATTTTTGTCTGTTACATACATTTTACATGTAGAATTCCTTGAAATGTTAAAATGTGCTATCTGGAGAAGGGTATCCTAGAAAGAATGATGACTGTACCAATAATTAGAAAGAAGCAAGAATTTTGAAGGAAATATGAGGAGTTCCATCTTCATCATGGTCAAATAAGAAAGATAATAGAACACCCAAGAGGCAATATGAGACAGCTCAAAACACAATATTGAATGCTGTGCAAGATTAAATGAAGAGAAAAGAGAAGGGCTGGTATTCATTCATGCTGGCCCACACAGGAATAAAAGCACTTACCGCATTTTCTAGAGCATAATAGTTTTAGCAACTCTTTTGAATCTGCTTCTTTCTGTTTTATACATTTACTTTAAAACACACATCTTGGAAGTATCCTCTTTTTTAAAAAATCAAAAATATTCCATGGTAAATAACATACACATTCCTTTCAGGTTGTGTGTATACATTTGTTGTAAACAAATATCTTAGAATTAATATTAACATTTTTCTGTCAAGATGTGTTATTTAAATACATATACAAATTATATGTGTATTTAACAGCCCCACAATGTGATTTAATTTTTATGTGCATTAATCTAAGAACATTATGGAGCATATAAACCAAAATATCAAGAGTGGTTATCTCAAGACAGTAAGATTATAAATGCCTTTATTTTCCACTTCTGATTTTTTTTTTGTGTATATATATATATATATATATATATATATATATATATATATATACACTATATATATACATACATGTATATTTTCTCTCTCTCTTTTAAATAGAGACGAGGTCTTGCCATCTTGCCCAGGCTGGTCTCAAACTCCTGGGCTCAAGTGATCTTCCCACCTCAGTCTTCCAAAGTGCTGGGATTACAGGTGTGAATCACTGCACTTGCCAGTTTTTTTTTTTTAATAACAAGAAAAAAATTTAGCAGAATTTAAAAAAAGAGAAGTAGTTCAAAATAGACATTTCTTATGACTGTATATTTTTTATGATGGGCTGTCATTAAATATTTAGCCAAAAAAAGAAGTAAAACCATATGAAATTTTAATTACTTAAGGAACAATGTCATGTAACATTGGTAGGAGTGGCTACTAGTCTGGAAAATAAGTTTGGGCAGAAATAGTAGACTGTGGCTT